>NC_000002.12:154762345-155065375 GCF_000001405.40 Homo sapiens | reverse complement strand
GTAGCTGCCAAAAAATAATAAAATAATAGCTAGAATATACTTAACCAAGGAGGTGAAAGATCTTTACAAGAACTACAAAACACTGCTGAAAGAAATCATGGATGATACAAACAATTGGAAATACATGCTATGCTCATGGATTGGAGGAATCAATATCATGAAAATAACCATAGTGCCCAAGGCAATCTACAGATTCAATGCAATTCTTATGAAAATACCAACATCATTTTTCACAAAATTAGAGAAAAACAACTCTAAAATTTATATGGAACCAAAAAGAAGCCCAGATAGCTAAAGCAATCCTAAAAAAAAGTAACAAATCTGGAGGCATCATATTACCTGACTTCAAATTATTCTACAGGGCTGTAGTAACCAAAACATAATGGTACCAATATAAAAACAGATACATAGAACAATGGAACAGAATAAAGAACCCCAAAATAAAGCAAAATATGACCAACTGATCTTCCACAAAGCATACAAAAATATAAATTGGGGAAAAAAACAACTTATTTGATAAATGGTCCTGGGAAAAATGGTTAGCCAGATGTAAAAGGATGAAACTGGATCCCTGTCTCTCACTATATATAAAAATTAACTGAAGATAGATTAAAGACTTAAAAAATAAAGACCTGAAACCATAAAAATTCTAGAAGAAAACCTAGAAAATACTTTCTGGGCCTTGGCTGAGGCAAATAATTTATGAATAAGACCCCAAAAGTGAATGTAACAAAAACAAAAATAAAAATAAATAAATTGGACCTAGTGAAACTAAAAAGCTTCTGCACAGCAAAAGAAATACTTGTCAGAGTAAATACACAACCTGCAGCATGGGAGAAGATACTTGCAAGTTATGTATCCAACAAAGGTCTTATATCCAAAAATCTACAAGGAACACAAGTAAACCAGCAAGAAAAAATCCCTAATAAACCCATTAAATAGTGTGCAAATGAAACGAATAGACATTTCTCGAAATAGATATTTTTCATATATACATGACCAACAAACATATGAAAAAATGTTCAACGTCAGTAATCATCAGAGAAATACAAATTAAAACCACAGTGAGATACTACCTTACCCCAGCCAGAATGGCCATAGGCCATAATTAAAAAGTCAATGAACAGTAGATTTTGGTGTGGATATGGTGAAAAAGGAATTTCAGCAATTTATACATTGCTGGTAGGAGTGTAAATTAGTACAGCCTCCATGGAAAATAGTATGGAGATTTCTCCAAGAACTAAAAGCAGATGTACCATTCGATCCAGCAATCCTACTACTAAGCAAAGAATTCACTATATCAAAGGAAAAGAAGTCACCATGTCAAAAAGACACCTGCATGCATATGTTTATTGCAGCACAATTCACAATTGCGAAGATGCAGAAGTAACCTAAGTGCCCATCAACCCATGACTGGATAAAGAAAGTGTGTGTATATATATATATATATATATATATATATATATGTATATGTATATATATATATATATACACTTTATATATATATATATACACATATGTGTGTGTGTGTATATATATGTGTGTGTGTATATATATATATACACATACACATGAAATACTACTCAGCTATAAAAAAAGAATGAATAATGTCTTTTGCAGGAATTTGGATGGGACTGGGGGACATTACCCTAAGTAAAGTAACTAAGGAATTGAAAACCAAGTACTGCATGTTCTTAGTTATAAGTGGGAGCTAAGCTATGGATTTGCAACAGCATACATAATGGTATAATGGACATTGGAGACTCAGAATGGGGGAAGTGGGGAGGGTAGTAGGAATGAAAAACTACCTATTAGGTACAACGTATGCTACTTGGGTGCACTAAAATCCCAGACTTCACCCCTATAAAATTCATCCATGTAACCAATAACCTCTTATGTCTTTAAAGCTAGTGAAATTAAAAACTTAAACAAATTAATGACAAAGAAATTTTGTCACATAGACTTATGTGAGTGGATGAAGGATGATGGTGAAGGAAAATCCTCTCAGTGAGCAGAACTTTGGGCAGTACACTTGGTTGTTCACTTTGCTTAGAAAGATAAATGGCCAGATGCACAAATATATTTTGATTCATGGGCCATGGCCAATGGTTGGCTGGATGACAAGGACTTACAAAGAACAGGATTGGAAAAGTGGTGACAAAAAAATTTGGAAAAGAGTTATATGATAGACTTCTCTGAATATGCAAAATGCAAAGATATTTGTGTACATGTGAATGCTTACCAAAGAGTGGACTCAAAAGAGGAAAATTTTAATAATTAAATAGACAAAATGACTCATCCTATGGATAACAGTTTGCCTCTTTCCCTAGCCACTCCTGTTACCATTCAATGGGCTCATGAACAGTGTCGTAGTGACAGAGATAGAGGCTATGCATAGGCATAGCAACATGAACTTCCACTCATCAAGGCAGATCTGGCTATGGCCATCATGGAGTGCACAATCTGCCAGCAGCAGAAAGCAACACTGAGTCCCCAGAATGGCACGATTCTTTGGGATCATCAGCCAACTACCTGGTGGCAGGTTGATTACATTGAACCACTTCCATCATGGAAGGAGAAGCATTTTGTTTTTATTGGAATAGACAGTTACTCTGGATATGTATTTGTCTTCTCTACATGCAACACTTCTGCCAAAACTACCATCTGTGGACTCACAGAATGCCTGCCTTATCCACTGTCTTAGTATTCCATGCAGCGTTGTTTGTAGTACAGCAGTGGACCCATACATATTGCATTCACTGGTTTTATCATGTTCCCCAATGTGAGTGGGCATCATCCAATCCTTTGAGATCCTGAATAGAACAGGCTCCTTTATGTCTGTTTTATGTCTGCTTTATGTGTGCTTTAGCTGGGATATCAGTCTTCTCCTGTCCTTGGACTGGAATTCACACAATCTGCTCTCTGTTCTCAGACCTTTGGACTCAGATTGGAATCACACCACCCTGAAGCAGCTGGTTTGATAGATAGTGGAATGGTCTTGTGAAGCATTAGTTAATGACAGCCAGTTTTCAATACCTTGCCAGGCTGGGGAATGATTCTCCTAAGGGCTGTATATGCTCCTGTTTTTACCATAGCCAGGATTCACAGGTCCAAGAATCAAGAGGTGGAAATGGTATTAGTAACCCTCACTATTATCCCACTAGTGACACACTAGCACAATTTTTGCCTCCTGTTTCCATAAGTTTATGCCCTACTGGCTCAGATGTCTTGGTTATAGAGGGAGAAATGCTTCCACCAGAAGATACAACATTGTTCCCATTGAACTGGATGTTAAGACTTCCACCCAGCCACTTTGGGCTCCTCATGCCTCTGAAGCAACAGGCAAATTAGGGAGTTAGGGTGCTGGCTGTGGTGATTGATTCTGACTCCCAGGAGGAAATTGGACTACTACTCCACATTGGAGATAGGGAAGAGTATGTATGTCTGGAGTACAGGAGATCCCTTATGTTGTCTCTTACTATTATCATGTGCTGTGATTAACATCCATGAAAAACTACAACAACTAATCCAGGAAGGGCTAATAAAAGCTCAGATCCTTTAGGAATGAAGTTTTGTGTTACCACTCCAGGTAAAGATCAGTGACCAGCTGAGTTGCATACTGAGGAAAAAGGAAGTACAGAGTGGGAAATAGAAGAAGTCAGTTATAAATGCCAGCCATTTGACCAGTTATGGAAATAAGTACTATAATTGTCATGTGTAGCATAAGATATATTGACTTTACATCATAATATTTAAGTATTGTTAATTTCATATCCTAATATTTAAGGATATAAATTTGAACAGTAAACATCATTTGCAGGATAGCTGTATTACATTAGTTGGAATGACCTCAGTATTGTTTTTATTTGTAGGTTAAGCATAATTTAAGGAATGTATAGGTACCACGTTGACAAGGGGTAGATTTGTGATTGCTAAATTTTATATATCAACTTGAATGCACTGTGGGGTGCCTATATTAAACATTATTTTTGGTGTGTCTGTGAGGATGTTTTTGGATAAGAGTACCATTTAAAATCAGTGCAGTAAATAAATTAGGTAGCCCCCCCAATGTTTGTGGACATCATCCAATCTATTAAGAGTTCTAATAGAATGAAGATGCAGTGGAAAGAGGAATTTATCCCTTTCCTTGGTGCCTGCCTGTTTGAGCTGGCCTTTTGACTGGAATTCATACCATCAACTCCCTTAGTTCTCAGACCTCTAGACTCAGACTGGAATTACACCATTGGCTTTCCTGGGTTATCAGCTTGCAGACAGCAGATGGCAAGACATCCCAGCTTTCATCGTGAGCCAATTCTTCATAATAAATCCCCTATGTATCCTATTGGCCCTGTTTCTCTGGAGAACCCTTACTAACACAACTAGTTTACTGCAATTCACATATTTATAACCACATATGAAATGTGCCATTTTTTCTGACTGCCTTCAAGATTTTCTTTCTTCTTCTATTGAAGATAATACAGGAAGTCATGGCTAAAAAAATAGACAAGAAAAAGAAATAAAAACCAACCAAATCAGAAAGGAAGAAATAAAATTGTCTATGTTTGCAGGTGACATAATCTTAGGTATCAAAAACTTGAGAGACTTCACAAAAAGTAAAACTGTTAGAACTAATAAATTCAGTAAAGGTGCAGAATAAAAAATCAACATTCAAAAATCAGTTGCAATTCTGTAAACTAACAACTAACTCTCCAAAAATGAAATTAAAAATAAATCTTATTTACAATAGCATCAAAAATTTAACCAAAGAAGCAAAAGATCTTTACGCTGAAAACTATAAAACATAGTTTAAAGAAACTAAAGTAGATACCAGTAAATGGAAAGACATCCTATATTTATGGCTTAGAAGGATTAATACTGTTAAAATGTCCATACTATACAAAACAATCTATAGATCCAGTGGAATCCCTGTCAAAATTCCAATGGCATTTCTCAAAGAAATAAAAAAATTCATTTCTAAAATTCATATAGAACCCCCTAAAACTCATGTAGCCAAGGCAGTTGTAAGAAAGAAGAACAAAGCTAAATGTATCAAAACTCTTGATCTCAAACTACGTAACAAAAGTACAGTAATCAAAATGGTATGGTATTGGCATAAAACAGATACATAGAACAATGGAACAGAATAGAGAGCCCAGAAATTAATCCATACATAGGCATCTAATATTTGACAATGCTGCTGAGAATCTCCAATAGGAAAAGGATGGTGTCTCTAGTAAATGGTGTTGGAAATACTGGATATCCACATGCAAAAATATGAAATTGAATCTCTATCTTGCACCACTCACATTATTAACACAAAGAGGATTAAAAGTTAGAACTGAAACTGTAAAAGTCCTTGAAGAAAAGGGGGAAAATACCCTTTGACAATTTGCCATGGTGATGATTTTTTTGATACAACACCAAAAGCACAGACAACAAAAGCAAAAATAAGCAAGTGGGACTACATCAAACCAAGCATATAACTACACATACAATAAATTATCCTTGTCTCATTTGTCATATAACTTTATCCAGGACATTGTCTCACGTTATCCAAAAATAATATGAAACATCTTTTCATTAATGTATAGATACTTGTTCTAGTTATTCACGACACTTGAGGCATTTTATTTTGCTAGCTTTTAACTTATTTTGGATATGCTAAAATAAAATAGAGCTGTCTTAATATATAATTTAATAACGATGAACTTTGAAGTGTTCCATAAATAATTTGCTACTAAATATAAAGGAGTGAGTTGTGTTGATGCTAGTTTAAATCAATAATTGTTTCACTCTCCCACTTGCATTTCATTAAGCTTTGTTTAGTAAAAAGAAATGGGTGTAGTTAAAGCTGTCTTGCTGACATATTGTAAAATATATAATTTTGTTTATCAGTCAGGATACATTATCCCTTTTAATGCCTTGAGTAGGGGAGATAAATGGGTAAAGGATTGCTGTGTGCCAACTTCTCTGTCCCCCCAAATCCAACATAAACGGATTTACCTCAAACTCATGTTTCTACCTACAAAATCATGTTTCTGCCAGAGCCACTACAGAATTATCAAAATTGTACAAATCAGCTCTCTGATATGAAAAATATAACTTTTTATTAGTTAAATATATAAAAAGAACATTATTTTTTATTTAAGTATATAAAAAGAGCATTATTTTTCAAGATAAAATTTGATCACTTATGAGTCACATGATGGTCTCTATATAACAATTTGAAAAACTATTACCACACATGACATGGATGATTCTGATAAGCAAGATTCAATAAAATAAATTAGACATAAAAGAATTCATAAAGTGTGACTCTTTTGAGACAAATAGAAAAAGTCAGAACTAACCCATGGACACCAGGAAATTAAAGTGGATAATACTCTGCTTTTTTATTTATTTGCTGATTTTATCCATCTAAACTATCTGTCTGTCTATCTATCTATCTCTCTATGTATCTGATCACCCATGAGAATTTTCTGATATGTACATTTATGATTTGTGCACTTTTTCTGAATGTTGTAATTCCTTAAAACAAATTCCAAAAGTCTATCCCACCTCTGTTCAATTTATAAGTAATTTTGCCTTCAACAAAAATTTTAGTGATTAACTTAGTGTTTTGCTTCTCTAAATTTTATTAACATTTATCAGTTTTGCATACTCTAGAAATTTGTTACACAAATAATATAATTCAGAATTTATACTGAAGTGGATAAAGAATTTGCACCTTTGCTCAAGAAGATGGATTATTCAATTTCAAACTCCTTGTAGAGTTCAATAGGAACTCATCTTTTCTACCTAGATGTGATATATTTAGAAATATCTAAACCATTAATAAGGCTTTTAGACTGTGCTTAGGTGGTCATTTTCCTTACTTTATGCCTGGGAAAAACTGTACTATATAAAAGCACATTTCACTAAGTATTAATATTCTCCATGATCTAACCATGACAGGCTATTTTTTTGTTCCCTTGGCATTGATGTGATGGATTAATGTAGTAAGTATGAAAAGCCAAGTCTTTGATGATCATAGAAACTCAAGGCATAGAATGTCCATTCCTAATTCCAAGCAAATTAGGTAAGAGTAGAAAAGGGAAAGAGAGCAAAATAATTCGTAAAGAAAATAAAATGAGATTTCATTATTCCTATTGTGGAAGAATATACCTTTTGGCTCTAGTATCATAGATGTTAATTATAGTTTTCACAATGGTAAGGCATATATTTTTAAAGATCAAGTTAAAACTTGAAAAAAGTAGAAATTATTTACTTTAAAATTGTCAGAGAAAAAAATAAAGCTAGTTAGCTTGTCTTATAAAATTTCCGTGAGCTGAGTACTTCACAAGCTAGTCGATTCTATTATCATGTCAAAACTGTTCTAACATTAGAAAGTGATTCCTTATACTGAGACAAAATACTTCTACCTGACAGAACTCAAAGCAGTAAAGACAAACTTGTGACTCACTTGAATTATCTCTTTTCCAATGTTTTTGCATGTCCCTTTACTGTTTATTATATAACAAAGTGTCCTGACCCTTCATCATCCTAGGTTACATGTTTTCTAGAGATGTGCTCTGATTTGTGAATATTCCTCCTGAAGCAGTGTCCAAAGATAAATTCAAAGGCAGATTCCAAAAAACTTTAGCCCTTTCCAACATGATAGCAGAGGCCCTAGAACATGTTCACGTGCTCTTACGGTTTCATAGAAATTTCAAAAATAATATATTTTAATCTCAAAAGTTGCCAAGGACTGAATGTTTGGGTTTTGCATAATTCTTATGTTAAAATCGTAACCCCCAATTTGATAGTATTTGGACGTGAGGCCTTTGGGAGGTACTTAAGTTATGAATGAGATGAGTAGTCTTATATAAGGGAACCCAAGGAGCTCTCTCACCATTTTTCTGCCAGATAAGGATACAAAGAAAGAACGGTAGTCTGAAACTGGATGAGAGTTCTCACCAACACCAGACAACATTGGCACCCTGATCCTGGACTGCTGACCTCCAGTACTGTGAAAAATAAATCTCTCTCTTTTTTTTTTTTTTTAATAAGGCACCCATTCTATGATCCTTTGTTACTACAGTCCAAACTAAGGCAAGACTGCTGCCGCTTTATATTCCAACTTCCTCCCCTTTGTCGTAATTCACCTCGTGTCTGGAAGAATTGGAGGATTCGAGGGTATTTTAGGGATCTAGACAAAAAGAAATTGAGTTAGTTAAGTAGAATACAGTTATGTGGTTTCTGAGCATTAAAGCCCATTGTAATAGTGACAGCTATTTTGGTTGCTTAAAGACTTGCAGTCAGCTGGTCCACTCAGTACTGTGACACAAAGATAGACGAAAGAAATTATATCACTCAATGGTAATGGGGTTTGAGATGGATGGATATAAAAGCAGAATGTGGGAAATCCTCCCACATCTTAGCTTTTATATGTGAGGAAGATTTGATACAGATGTCTTCAAATTTGACAACAATTTCAGAAAAAGTGACTTTCTGAATAATGCGCTGTGGACTAGAGAGCAATTCTTATAAACTATCAATAATAAAAACAAATTTTGATCAACTTTCCTAGTGAAAAGACTGAAATAGCTATTAACTGTAGAAGGCATAATGGGACAAAATCTTTTTCGTATGAAGAGGAAGTCAGGGTATAAAGCTACAATATATCCGAAAACCATATCACAGAGGTATATCAGGCAGTTAATTCATTTTAAAAATAATGGTTTTTTTCTAGATTTGGTGATGTCTAGTACTTGTAAGTTTCTTTTTTTTCTTTTTCTTTTTTCTTTCTTTTTTTCTTTTTCTTAAGACGGAGTCTCGCTCTGTCACCCAGGCTGGAGTGCAGTGCTGTGATCTCGGCTCACTGCAAGCTCTGCCTCCCAGGTTCACGCCATTCTCCTGCCTCAGCCTCCCGAGTAGCTGGGACTACAGGCGCCCGCCACCGCGCCTGGCTAATTTTTTGTATTTTTAGTAGAGATGGGGTTTCACCATGTTAGCCAGGATGGTCTCAATCTCCCGACCTCGTGATCTGCCTGCCTGCCTTGGCCTCCCAAAGGTCTGGGATTACAGGTGTGAACCACTGCGCCCAGTCTAGTACTTTTAAGTTTTTTAATGTGTTATTTGTTGTGATTTTTAAAATTCTAAATAAATATTGTTTTTCTATATCAAAAAAAAATCAATGAGTTGAAAGGAAAGATACACTTTGGCAGATCTCAAAAATCTCTCTTCCATTAAACTACCCCAGTGTAGGTATCTTTTTCTATTATTTACAACCCAAAACATTGAGTCCATCTCTAAAATTGAGAGCTTCTTAATTAGTCTTTTCCTGGGAATAGACTTAGAAATGAGTAAATGTTGATGAGATCTTGGGAAAAATCCTAGGTAATTTGATTATTGCAAAGTGACTTCTGAACAGGAGAATCACGGAGGAAGGATGAGAAACGTCATGTGCGAATCAGAGTTTATGATAATACATAAAGACATTTTAAAAATACAGCAATATTTGCAACATTAGCTATTTTATTCCCTTCACCTTTCCATCACTAAATTATGGTTTTTGTCAAAAGATATTTATGGATTCTAATAATAGCTTTGTGTAACATTTATACTTTACAGAATGCTGCTGCACACATGACTCAATGTGCTTGTCTTTTTTTCTCCTAAAAACTCACCCAAATGCTTTGGTCTTTCCTTTCACCTTAGATTCAAAAAGTATTAACGTGCTATTGAATTAAACCTTGTCAAATAGTTGAAAGTGTCATCATTCTTTCAAAGCTTGCAAGAGGGAAACTAATTTTCAGTATTCCATCTTCTCTTATTGATGTCCTCATGAAAGTGTTAATTATCAAATTTATTGTTTAGCTTTGTTAGATTAACATTACATAAATATGTATCAAAGTAAATATTGTTACTAAGAAATGACTGGACCCCAGAGTTTGAAGAAAGGTATTATTAATAAATTGAAGACATGCTACAGTAAACACAGGGGATTGTAGAAAGTGTGTTAGAGTGAGAGAAAAAAATATGAATTAGAACCAAAATAACTGAAAAATAGAGAAAATATGAATACAGATCTCAAATATCTGTAGCTAGAAAGAAATTATTCACCTCACAAATATATTCTGGAGCTAGAAAGAAATTATTTAGGCAGTTAGTGAGGATAAAAGAGTCCTTGGCAAGGTTTCCGTTTTAATAAAAAGCAGCCCCCAAATCATTTCTTTTCTAACAAACAGCAGCCTGAAAAATCAAGCTGCAGACATAGAAAAGCCAGCAGCGGTACCAATAGGAAAAGGCTACCTGGGGGGGCAGGCAAACTCAACATGGAGGTTCCATCTTCCTTTTTCTTTGTCAACCATGGGTACAGTAAAATAGACAACATGATTCCAGCCAGGTAGAGAACCCAGTTGCATAATAAAAGATTAGAGTGGGGTGGCCATCTCCTTTGCATACTATGCAAATGGCCCACCTGGTCTGACCAGCCTCTAGTCCCCCATGTAAATCAGACACCACCTCCTCATGCTCATGTATAAAACCCCGTGCATTTCACCATGTAGCCAGAAGACCCACTTGGGAGCCCCGCTTTCTCTGCAGGAGAGAAAGCTTTTCTCTTTCTTTTGCCTATTAAACCTCTGCTTTTAACTTCACGCCTTGTATGCCTGCGTCCTTTACTGAATTATATTTGTAAGGTGAATACTGATAATTTATACTGAAATATGATAATTTTTCTATGGAAATAGAAAAAAATGGTCCTACTCCTCAAGAAATTGATCTCAAATTCTAAGATTTCTTAATATGTCCCTTGATTGCACATGCAGATTCAGAGGGTTTCTTTTTCCTTTTAGCAAATATTCAAATAAGTCATACAAATCAAAAATTATTTTATTTATGTTTTTATAAGATGTTAATGTTTTACATGCAAATACCTATCAGATATGATAATGTTGTAAGTAACTGGAATAATTTCAAAATCTGTACCATAACCAAGAATCCAAGCATAAGAGAAATGAACAATTAGAGTTTTCACAAATGAAATAATTATTGACTTCAATCATTGCCTTTATGTTTTCTTGGTCCCCCAGTTCATAGTTGGTTAGAAACAAACAACAACAACAACAACAACAAACAAAAACAACAACAACAAAAAAAACAGAGAGCCCAAAGAGAAGAAATAAAGATGCTGTCAGAGATGGAACATAGTGGCAGTAAAAGAAAGGACAACCAGTAGACAGGAAAGAAAAAAAACTCCAAGGTAGACTCACAACTATTTTTATTCAGTTAATATTAATGAATAAAGTTTCTTTTGGCAGTGCCTTATCAAAAACTGTGAGAAATATTCAATATTAAAAAAGGTGGTCATTAATATACACATTATAATTATTTCCATAATAAATGTAGTTTAAATTATTTTGTTTATAGAAACTGGAGTCAAGTTCCCTGGAAAAGGTATTTATGTGGAGCAGGTGGCCCCCAGGTATATGCATGAATTCATGAGCCTGAATCAATCCTTAGTTTCCATATAAGTGCTTGGACATAGCACTCAAATTAAAGAATATCAGTTCGCTTGGGCTACATTAGTCCAAAACAAAGTAACGTCCTCAAATTCCAATAGCTAACAATAAAATGTTTATTTCTCTTTGCTATGGCAGATCTGTCTTGGATCAACTGTATATTTTCTTCACTCTGAAACTAAGGGTGATGGCAGGGGGAACAGGGAGATGTGCCAGATGATGAGATGGCTCTTAATGTTTCTAAGTGGCGCATGTTACAGGTTCTTTATTACTCACATTTTATTTCACAAAGCAATTCAGATAACCAAGTCTCAATTCTGTGATCTAAAATATATGCTTATTCTGTAGCAAGATGTATAAAGGGAGACTGGACATTTTGAATAATAATATGATCTACCAAAAAGAAGTATAGATCTTAATTTTCCCTCTTTTCTAGAGCTATTGCCCAAGAATCTTCAAATGTAGGACATTGTAATCATTAAGTTTACACTTCACTCAACTTTTCTCTATTTTGATGAAAACAAATAAGAGGATCAAGGTGACATTGATCTATTGTGTAGAAAATCTGTTGTTTATATTTTTGCTTGATTTGATAACCGTTTTAAATGATTGATTTAGAGCTTACAAAAATAGCACAATTCTTTGCTGGACAAAAGGCAAAAATAATTTAAGGCAAAAATACCCATCTAGGTAAAAAACAAAGTAATCACTTAGGTAGGTAACATTATTTTAAAATAGAAATGAATTGCTGATTTTTTTCATTATTTAAAGAAACTTTTAATTTGAGATAATTGTACATTTTGAGATAATTGTACATTCATATGGAGTTGTAAGAAGTAACACAGAGAAATGCTGTGTACCATTTACTCAGTTTTCTCTAATGGTAACATTTTACAGAACTATAGAACTATGTTACAACCAGGTATTGATATTGATACAATCTGCCACTCTTATTCAGATTTTCTAAGGTCACTTTTATTCATTTGTATGTGTGTGTATTTACATCTGTGAAATTGTATCACGTGTAGATTTATGTATTCATCACCCAGTCAACACACAGAATAGTTCCATAACCGCAGGATCTATTGTGTTGCACTTTTATTACCATACCTATCTCCCTGCCCACCCTCCCAAGTCCTAATCCATGGCAAAACTAATCCATTTTCTATTCTATAATTTTGTCATTTCAATAATTCTATGTAAATGAATTTATATACAATGTTAAATCTTTTGGGATTGATGCATTTTTACTCAGTACTTTTCTCTTGAGATCATCCAAAGTTCTTCTATGTACTAATCACTGGTTATTTTTGGTTGCTGAAAAGTACATAATGGTATAAATGTGTCATAGGTTATATCATTCATTTAAGGGCAACTAGGTTATTTTCAGGTTTTTGTTATTACAAATTCTGTTATTTTATTATTTGTATTTTATTTGTTTCTTCTAATTTTTATTCCGCTATTCCTCATTTCTTTTCTGTGGATTGTGTGAACATTTTTTAGAATTTTATCTTCAGTGATTTATAGTGTTTTTCAATATACTTTAATTAGTAGTCACTAGTCACAGAATACCTTGTGACTTACCATAATCTAGTAGTATCAAGTGAAGTTTGGAAATTTGATTTCATTTAAGCTCACTCTACCCTACCCTACTTTAAATATTATTGCCTTGAGTATCAGATAGTATTATCATTTTTGTTTCAATCATCAAATATAATGTATAAAATTCATGAGGATAAGGATAGTCTATTGTGTGTGCCCATCTTTTTGCTCTTATCATTTTTCTTCATTTTGATGCTCCACTATTCTTTTTTTAAATCGTTTTATTTGTGTTTGATGAAATTTGTTTAACCACTCTTTAATGGTAGATATGCTACAGGCAAATTATCTTAGTTTCCTCAATCTGAAAATATTTTTATTTCCCCTTCATTCGTAAAAGATATTTTTACCAGATAAAACATTTTATATTTAAGATCAAATATATTTATTCATAGGTATATTTATCTTGCCAGACATATCTGATATGGTTAGGTTTTGTGTCCCAACCCAAATCTCATTTTGAATTGTAATCACCATAATCCCCATAATCTCCATGTGTCAAGGGAGAGAGCAGGTGGAAGTAATTGAACCATGGGGGTGGTCTCCCCCGCTGCTATTCTCATGATAGTGAGTTCTCACGAGATCTGATGGTTTTAAAAGGGACTCTTTCCCTTTCGCTCGGCACTTCTCCTTCCTGCCACCTTGTGAAGAAGGTGCCTTGCTTCCCCTTCACCTTCCACCATTATTGTAAGTTTCCTGAGGCCTCCTCAGCCATGCTGAACTGTGAGTCAATTAAACTTCTTTCCTTTATAAATCGCACAGTCTCAGGCAGTTCTTCATAGCAGTATGAAAATGGACTAATACAGTATCTTTATCTTGACAGATACATACATAGATACATAGTTATTTTCTTTCAGCACTTGAAAAGTGATGTGCCACTTTTTTCTGCTTCCTGTGATTTCAGATCGGAATCTGCTGTAATTCAAATTGGCATTCCCCTGTTGGCAATGTGTCATTTATCTCTTGCTACTTTTAAGTTGTTTTGCTTTGTCTTTAGTTTTGAGAAGATTCATTATTTTGTGTATTGATATAGATTTCTTTGGGTTTACCTTATTTGGGATTATTTAGCTGCTTGAATAGTTTTCATTTGTCTCACCAGTTTTGGGAAGGATTCATCTATTATTTATTTGGATATTCTATTTACCCTACTGTTTTTCTCTTCTTATTCCAGGACTCTGATAGAATGAATACTGGATATATATCTCTCTCCAATACACATATAAGCGTGCATGTGTATTTTATAGATAAATAAATAGATGTTTTCTTTCAGCACTTGAAAGATGTTCCACTTTCTTCTGTTTCCTGTGATTTCAGATTAGAAATCAGTAATAATCCAAATTGGCATTCCCGTGTTGGCAATGTGTCACTTATCTCTTGCTACTGTAAAGTTTTTACCAAACTTAAAAGTAGCACAGATTCCTGATTGAGTCAATTTTATTAATCTGTCCTCAATACCACTGAGTCTATCCCCTGTCATCTCCAGTCTACTATTGGGTCCACCCATCAAGTTTTATTTTGGTCATTATATTTTTCAGCGTTATAATTTCCATTTGGTTTATTCTTAAAACATTTATTTGCCAAGATTTCTACTTTTTTGTTTCAAACGAATGTAAAATTGTTTCTTGGAACATTTTTATGATGACTGTTTTAAAATACTTCCCCGTATATCCTGACATATAAAATATCTTTGTATTGGCATTAGTTGATTGCCTTTGCTCATTCAGTTTGTGCTTTTTCTGGTTCTTGATGTTGTGAGCTATTTTTAGTAGAATTTTCATAAATATTCTTTCTGGAAAATATTTGTTTTTGATATCACTGTTTTATATAGATCTTTGGACTTATAGTACAGGCACTTGGGTACAGGAAATAATTTAAGTGGAAGCAAGTGGTGCTTTTGCACCCATCACCTCATTACCTCTACAACTCTGGACCCCAGTGAGCACTGCATGCAAAGTCAGTTTCAGGTATTGAAATTTTTGTGGGAATTTCTGAGAAGTGATTGGTTTCTGCTCTTGTTAGTATAGTGGAGGAACATATAAAATTTTACCAATTATACAATCTGTTGAAACTGAAAATTATGAAGGACAAAAATAAAAAGAAATTAAAAAGATTTCTGCTCGAAGCAATGTAGAATAGGTTGTTTCGGTTTGTTTCAGGCTAAATTCTCACTGAAAATGACTATGGAAGGTGGAAAATTTGAAAAAAAAAGAATTCAAGACACTGGAGAGTTTCAAAAGCATGAAAGAGATATCAAAGATGGCATATTTAAAAAGATAAAGGAAATGCAGAGAATTGACCCCTACATTTGGTTCTGATGTCTCTAGACATGTGCTGATTCAAAATGTGTCTATGAAGCCAAAGGAAAAGCAACAGCTGAGAAGCTGAGGTGGCAGTCACTGGGTCTGAGGGGCAAAATTTGAAGTTAAAACCCACTAACGAAGAGTGTCTTGGGCTTAACAGGCATATCATTTCCTGATTGGATTAGGGTAATCAGCCCCTATGCTAAGGTCTGACAAAATAAAGATAAGTAGACTCTGGAAGAACATAAAAATTGGCTGGGAGTGGTGGCTCATGCCTCTAATTCCAGCACCTTGGGCAGCTGGGGTTGGTGGATCACTTGAGGCCAGGAGTTCAAGACCAGCCAAGCCCACATGGTGAAACTCCATCTCTACTGAAAATACAAAAATTAGCCTGGTGTGGTGGCATGTGCCTGTAATCTCTGCTACTCAGGAGACTGAGGCACGAGAATCACTTGATGCTGGGAGGCGGAGGTTGCAGTGAGCTGAGATCGCACCACTGCACTCCAGCCTGGGTGACAGAGTGAGACTCTGTCTTAAAAAAAAATAAAATTCATCAGAACTTCAATTTTTATGGTTTTATATACATATTTTCCATGAATGAAGAATGCAGAAATGCAAGAATTTACCAAAATATTGAAGAATAAGCAGATAATGGAAAGAGAATTAAAGGAGACTGTTATTAAAGTTAATATACATGAGGATTAAAATAATTGTGATTAATATACAAAAAGTTGAATATGAAGACAAAGAACACATAAAGAACATTAAAAATCATAAAATAGAATGAAATAGAAAATCTGGAACTTAGAAATATAGAAATTAAGATTAGGACCACAATACATTTAATTGGAAATTTAGCAATATGAAAGAGTTTATTAACAAAATAAAAGTTAGGTCATAGAAAACTGTATACACTAAGGAAGAAATTGACAGAAATTAAGCTAAATGTAGGAAAAAATAAAAGATGTATAGGACAAGGCATAAAAACATCTAAAATATATGTACTTAGACTCTAAAGAAGTGAGCAGAGTGGAATGAGTCAGAAAAAAATATATGGGATAATAGCTGAGTGTTTTCTAAAACTAATAAGAGACATAAAGCCATAGTTTCAAGACACGTTTAAGCAAGAAAAACGCAAATAAAATCAAGCTTGCAACCAAAAAATAAAAGAAAGTAGCCAGAAGAAAAATAAAGAAAAAAAAACCCAGAATAAGTACATCTTCAAAGTGATGAAAGAAAATAACTGACAAACTAGATTTCTGTATCATGAAAAGTGTCTTTCAAAAGTGAAGGAAAACTATAAAGGTTGGGTGAAATTTTTACCAGATGATTGACATAAATGCAAATATTGAAGGAAGTTATTAAGTCAGAAAGGAAACAATCACAGATGGAAGCAATTAACATCATGGTTAAAGGTGAAGAATTAAAAACATCCTCCCCTTTTCTGAAATTAAGAACAAGACAAAGCTTCCTGAAATCATCAGTTTTATCAACGTACTAAATGTCTGGTTTGGCACAAAAGAGAAGAAGAAAATGAAAGTTTAATGATTGACCAATACAAAAATAAAAGCCATTATTCAAAGTTAATATATTAACAATAAAATGTCCAAATTAATCTACAAATCATCTTTTACAATTAAAAAGTATTTTAACAAGGTTTCTAGATACAAGGTCAAAATACAAAATTAATTGCATTCCTACATATCAGAAGAGGAAAAATAATGAAGACGATCTTAAAGAAGAAAAAAAGGAGAACCAATACTAACAGAATTACTATAAGCTGTTTTAATTAACATATTGAAGTATCATAAAAAATTTTTATATAACAGAATAGAGTTATAGAATTTACCTACACATCTATGAACAGTTGATATATATTGCACATAGCATTGCAAAGATTACCAATGGATAATCTTCAATAAATACTTTTCAATTTCATTCCACGAATGTTTATTAAGCATTGACGGGGTGTTAGGGACTGTTTTAGGCATTTGGATATACATCTGTGAACAACACAGAAATAGACAAAAGTATCTTCTTTCATGAAGCTTACATGCAGGCTAGTTTTCAGCCCTGGCTGGATATTAGAATATCATGGGAGAGTTGAAAAATCCCATTGCATAGGTCACATGTCTCAAAAATTCTGAAATTCTGTTGTCCCAAATGGGGACTAGGAACCAGTTTATTTATTGATTCATAGTGTTTGTAAATATTTATAAGGTACATGTGATATTTTAATGCATGCATACAATGAGTAATGATCAATAAATATTTCTATCTTAACTGGATAACTAGGTAAAATTATGAGTCTTGACATCTATCTAAAATGAAAATATCCAAAATGGAAATAATCCCAAATAAATTCCAGTGGCTTTTACATTAATAGATGATAGGCAATATACCTTCTAAAAATAGTGTCACCCATTAACTTCCTATCCTCAGATTAGGCAAATATTTCTTTAACAGATCAAAAGACACTTTCCAACAAATAAAAAACAAAAACCAAATTTAAACAACTAAGTACATATGATATTTTATATTATATATACATATTATATATTATATAAAATATATATTATATATTGTATATTATATGTAGTATATTATATTAATATATATTTATATAATATATAATATATATTATATATTATATATATTTTTTATATTATATGACATGTTGGGCTCTGTATCTTCATCCAAATATATTATATATATTTGGATATATATATTTGGATATATATTATATTATGTTATATATTAATATATAATATATTATATATATTTGGATATGTATATTATATATATTTGGATAACCAAATATATATATCCAAATATATTATATTATATATTATGTTAATATATATAATTTTTTTTTATATTATCATATGACACGTTGGGCTCTGTATCTTCATCCAAATCTCATCTTGTAGCTCCCATAATTCCCATGTGTTGTGGGAGGGACCTGGTGGGAGATGACTGAATCATGGGGGTGGGTCTTTCCCGTGCTGTTCTTGTGATAGTGAATGGGTTTCACAAGATCTGATGGTTTTAAAAATGGGAGTTTCTCTGCATAAGCTCTCTTTTGATTGCCTGCCACCATCCACATAAGATGTGACTTGGTCCTCCTTGCCTCCCACCGTGATTGTGAGCCCTCTGCAGCCACATGGAACTGTAAGCCCAATTAAACCTCTTCCTTTTGTAAATTGCCAAGTCTCGGGTATGTCTTTATCAGCAGTGTGAAAACGGACTAATACAGTAAATTGGTACCAGCAGAGTGGGGCGCTGCTGAAAAGATACCCGAAAATGTGGAAGCAACTTTGGAACTGGGTAACAGGCTGTTACCCAAACTGTTGGAACAGTTTGGAGGGCTCAGAAGACAAGAAATTGTGGTAAAGTTTGGAACTTCCTAGAGACTTGTTGAATGACTTTGCCCAAAATACTTACAGTGATATGGACAATACAGTCCAGGCTGAGGTGTTCCCAGATGGAAATGAGGAACTTTTTGGGAACTGGAACAAAGGTGACTCTTGTTATGTTTTAGCAAAGAGACTGGCAGCATTTTGCCCCTGCCCTAGAGATTTGTGAAACTTTGAACTTCAGAGAGATAATTTAGGGTATCTGGCATAAGAAATCTCTAAGCAGCAAAGTATGCAAGAGGTAACTTGGGTGCTGTTAAAGGCATTCATTTTTAAAAGGGAAACAGTGCATAAAACTTTGGAAAATTTGCAGCCTGACAATGCAATGGAAGAAAACAATTCCATTTTCTGAGGAGAAATTCAAGCCAGCTGCAGAAATTTTCATAAGTAATGAGGAGCTGAATGTTAATCCCCAAGACAATGGGGAAAATGTCTCCAGAGCATGTCAGAGATCTTCCTGGCAGTCCCTCCCATCACAGGCCTGGAGGCCTAGGAGGAAAAAGTGGTTTTGTTGGCCAGGCCCAGGGTGCCCAAGCTGTGTGCCGCCTAGGGACTTGGTGTCCTGTGTCCCAGTCACTCCAGCCATGGATGAAAGGCGCTAACATAGAGCTCAGGCCATGGCTTCAGAAGGTGCAAGACCCAAGCCTTGGCAGCTTCCACATGGTGTTGAGCCTGAGAGTATGCAGAAGTCAAGAACTGAAGTTTGGGAACCTCCACCTAGATTTCAGAAGATGTATGGAAACACCTGGATGCCTAGGCAGAATTTTGCTGTAAGGGTGGGATTCTCATGGAGAACTTCTGCCAGGGCAGTGCAGAACGGAAATATGAGGTGGGAGCCCCCACACAGAGCCCCTACTGGGCCATTGCCTACTGGAGCTATGAGAAGAGGACCACAGTCCTTCAGACCCCAGAATGGTAGATCCACTGACAGCTTGCATTGTCCCCCTGGAAAAGCTGCAGACACTCAATGCCAGCTGATGAAGGCAGCTGGGACAGTGGCTGTACCCTGCAAAGCCACAGCATCAGAGTTGCCCAAGATAATGGGAACCCACCTCTTATATCAGCGTGACCTTGATATGAGACATGGAGTCAAAGAACATCATTTTGGATCTTTAAGTCTTGACTGCCCTGCTGGATTTCGGACTTGCATGGGGCCTGTAGCCCCTTTGTTTGGGCAAATTTCTCCCATTTGGAATGTCTGTATTTACCCAATGCCTGTACCCCCAATGTATCTAGGAAGTAACTAACTTGCTTTTGATTTGTTTACAGGCTCATAGGCAGAAGGGACTTGCCTTGTCTTGGATGAGACTTTGGACTGTGGACTTTTGAGTTAATGCTGAAATGAGTTTAGACTTTGGGGGACTGCTGGGAAGACATGACTGGATTTGAAATGTGAAGATATGAGATTTGACAGGGGAAGAATCTTACAGTTTGGTGCTGTGTCCACACCCAAATCTCATCTTATAGCTCCCCTAATTCTCATGTGTTATGGGAGGGACCCCATGGGAGATGATCGAATCATGAGGTCAGGTTCTTCTCGTGCTGTTCTCATGATAGTGAACAGGTCTCATGAGATCTGATGGTATTAAGAATGGGAGTTTCTCTACACAAGCTCTCTTTTATTTGCCTGCCACCATCCATGTATAATGTGACTTACTTGCCTTCCGCCATGATTGTGAGGCCTCCCCAGCCATGTGGAACTGTAAGTCCGATTAAACCTCTTTCTTTCGTAAATTACCCAGTCTTGGGTATGTCTTCATCAGCAGTGTGAAAATGGACTAATACAACATACAAAAAAGCATCATCATAAGAACCAAAAATCAGAGCATAATTGGATTATTTCTAACAAAAATAATAAATGCTTGAGAGGATGGATACTCCATTTACCATGATGTGATTATTATGCATTGCATGCCTGTATCAAAGTATCTCATGTACCCCATTAATATATACACCTACTGTGTACCCACAAAAATGTAAAATTTAAAATTTAAAAATTTAAGAAAAGAGTACTCCTGGGGCTCATACTGCATTATGTCTTTATTTAAATGGTAATTATATGGGTGTGTTTACTTGGTTAACGTGCTTTCACCTTTATAGGTTATACATTGATGAAAATTTGTATACAGTCATACTCTCACATACATGGAAGAATGAAACCAGTCTACAAGCCCATCATGAGCAGGAATTATTTTTCTACAGCATCCCTTTTCAAACCAAGCTTAAAATTTCTGCAGTTGGGGCACCACTAATTTTTTAGTCACTAGTCAAATATTTCACAATTTCAGTTGTTAGACCTTTTTGAGGTATATAAGAGCATTTATTTGGTCAAATTTTTTACCTATAGAGGTATATAAATGCATGGAGGGGTGTGTGTGTATGTATGCATGGGCACTGGGAACATGCAAGTCAAAATATTAACAAATCTACATGGTGGAATTAGAAGTGGTTTTTATTACTCATTCCTTATATTTTCTAAGTATTTAACATTCAAAGTGTATTCCATGTAAAGTGGGAAGGTGCAAAATTACTCTTCTAAAGGAAAAATAATTGCCAATGAAGAGAAAACAAACAATAACCCACTGCAATAAATAAAGTGATGGAAATCCAAGTGATAACATCGCCTGTTGCTGTGACTTGAGTCTGGCTGACAGCAACCACAGTGACAACTTGTGGAGGCAGGTGACACGACCCTTCTTAGTTGTTCTCACAGCATAGTCTTAAGAAATTGAAGACTTACTCTTAATAAGAAAGATAACAGTAGCCTCTGTTATCTGAAACTGATCTGATGCTTCCACCTAAATGTCAGTATTACTCATTACAAGCTGACCATTTTGTTCCCCAGTTGGACATAAACCATCTTGCAGAATACTAAGATTGGATAAGGATATTCTGAAACTTTTATAAATAGAGAAAAAAACAAAGCTATTTCAAAAAGTCTCCTCTCTTGGCTAAAATGAGTGATTGTGAATTCTGCAACAAATACAGTTTAATCTTCATTCCAGGCTTTCTTCCTTATAGGTAAGATTCATTGAGATACTGAATGATAGAATTGCCCCTAATTAATGCCAGCATTGAATTTAGAGCAAATCCCTGCTTCCTTAGGCACTCTCATAAATTACCTAACCAAAGTGCAAATACTATGGAAGTTTTACTCTAATAACTTTTACTGAGAAACGCATCTTCCCCATGTTATATATTGTCCCTCGCTGCAACAGGTAATACTTGTTAACTTCAAGGTGTGTTCCTGATGTATTTTTGCTGAAGGTGCTATTTTCTTGATAGTTTATTGACTATTTTATTATATTCAGTTTTGGTGAGATTTTCAGTCAATTTCCTTTCTATGTCTGGCATCCTGGGCAGGAGAAATGACCTATAAAATTAATGTTGCCTATAAAGTGTGAACAGTAGGAGGAGAATTTTTCGTGTTCGTAAGCTCTACTTGTTTACATGACTCAGCTGCATACATGGAAAAATTTCTTAAAATTGTCCTTGAGTTAATGATATTTAAACCTAAAACATTATAAAATTCACTTGTAGTTGTGTTTCAAAAGTTCTGGTGGTTCTCATGTTAATTTTCATCCAGTGACTAAAAAACTCATATTCAGGTGACTTGGTAACCTCAGAGTATAACAACAGAAAAGTTATTCTATACAAGTCACAGGCTGGACATTTTGTCTTCCAAGATAGACAGAATCAAGGGGCATTACAACCAGTTTTACATTCATGGATATTGAAATCATCCTTAGTCATTCAGGAAAAACCTAATCAAATTAAAATAGAAACTTCTATTTTAAAGTATTTGATGAATAATCTTTGCAGAGATGCTGTGAAAGATAGCTGGACAACTAAGAGACAACTTAGTTTTTAGATAGTGAGATAAAGTGGTACTGCAAAAACAGATAAGCACTCTATCATAGGAATTCTAAGAAAGGACAGTGGGTATGGTTAATTAGTTCCATAGTTAGTTCCATTGTCATAAACTATATAATATCACCCTCTGGAAAAGACTCATTCTAGCTTATAATAAATGGCAAAATCTCATTGAGACTAATTAGATTGAACAAAATGAACTCAAGTAGAAGGTCAGTTTAAGGGATAATTTTTCTTAAAAATAACATACACAACAAAATTTCATATTTGCAATTCAATTTCACTTGGTAGAATGAAACTTCAAAATATGAAGGCTTAGCAAAATACACTTTAATAAGAGTCAATGAAAACAATGATAAATGAAGTTATAAATGCATGAATCTGTTTGGGAAGGACAAAATAGTGTGCTTGGTGTCAAACTTAGAAGTACATTTAAGGTGAATGTCGCTCCCTAGAGTTCCATTCACCAAAAATGCTTTATCCAAAAATGATGTTAAATGTGATTGGTTTAATTTTTTAATTACATTAAATTTAAATATAAAATACAAAAGAACATTAAATACACATTCAATTTGTCTTGGTGCCTTCTTTCAAATTCTCATTTTTCTTCAATATAAACTTTAGTCAGACACAAAAAAATAATTTGTTGTCAAATGCAAAGAGTATACACTGAAAGAATGTCTTTAATTTTGTCATATGTATTTAATTTTATGTGTTTGTGTGAATATATATGTATGCTTACAAAGAAAAAAGAGACTCTAAATGTAGATTCTGATATTTATATATTTTTTAAAAAGATATTTGGAGTATTTTGTAAGATTTAAAAGAACAGTGTGAAATAAGAAAAAATATAGTCAGGGAAATAAATTTTAATAATTAAAAACTCTTCCAGTTGAAATATGTTAATAAAGTGAACATATCAAAATATTTTAAAGCAATTGCCAGGTAAATATGAAAAGAAAAAGAACATGTAATAACACTGTTTAGGCAACTTCAAATGTTAAAACTTCTTTTTCCTGAGACCAGTCGTTCTTTTTACAAAGTATGCCCTAAATAATGCATTATTTCATAATGTTGCTTTATGTTTACAGGACATAAATGCCTTTATCCTATATGTAGATGGACAAATGAATATGTAAAGTTGGTGTTTGGTGAGCTTTTTATGTTATTAATTTGTAACTGGTAATTATTCCTATAAATTTCTTATGTTTCCTTAGTCAATTATTTAATGTCAATTTCTTATAGAATATGTAGTTGATGCCTCTAAGGTATCACCATTTTTATAAAGAAAATAATATGTTATTTGGTCTGGCGCAGTGGCTCATGCCTATAATCCCAGCACTTTGGGAGGCCAAGGCGGGTGGATCACAAGGTCAGGAGATCGAGACCATCCTGGCTAACATGGTGAAACCCCGTCTCTCCTAAATATACAAGAAATTAGCAGGGCGCGGTGGTGGGCGCCTGTAGTCCCAGCTACTCGGGAGGCTGTGGCAGGAGAATGGTGTGAACCTGGGAGGCAGAGCTTGCAGTGAGCCGAGATTGTGCCACTGCACTCCAGCCTGGGTGACAAAGCGAGACTCCATCTCAAAAATAAAAAAATAAAATAATAAAATAATAAAAAAGATGTTTTTTTGTGGCAAATATTACTTTTTCCCAAGTTCTAATTTCTAAGATTCATGAATATGAAAAGCACAGAGCAATCACAATAAACAACAATTAATCTGTAGGAAATACACTCAAGAAGTAATATGTTTATATATATTAATAATATGTATAATACTAAAGTAATATATAGTATTTAATCCTTATATTATTTTTACAAAACTAACTCATTAGAAGTACTAATATGAATATTGGATTTTATACAATTGAAGTAATAACAGATATTGTATATGTAATCTGTTCTGTTACTAGAGGAGAAGTTATGAAACATATGAGTTATAAGTTCCATTTCCTAATGAATCTTGAGATATTATAACAGTATACTACATAGAAATTATGCAATATATCATAACGTTTTGGTTGAATTATATTTAAACGTTTCAAAAAGTGCATAAATGAGGATAAAAACGGTTTATCATGTGAATTTCATATAGATTTCATCTACATTAGTGGAAAGTGTGTAAGCTAATAAGACTTAAAGATTTCTGTCTCCCTCTCTAACAATCCTATTTCAAACATCACATAGCTATATTCACTATGTCTGATCTTATCATGTGTTTTCTACTTGCCTTTTGTTTGTTTCTACTAAATTATTTATATATTTGCACTTAAATAATGTTATTTTTCTTCAGGGAGAAAATTAGATTGCTCCTCATATATCATTACTTTAAATCTGTGTTTATAAGTACATAGGCACTTTGTAAAATCAATCACTTATCCATTAAAATCAATGGTTTTGAAATAACAACATAATATTTTGTATTATATAAAGTACATATTGTACATTTATTAAAACAAAAGCGAGAAAGAGGCAATTTAACTGTGTGCACCTATAATTTAAATAATTGAAATTTTTGTTCATATACTAATGGAAAGAATTGTTGTTACTTAAATAGCTTTAAAATGGCAAAATGCCATATGTCATTTTGAAAGTCATACACTGGATAGATTAGCAACACAGTTTGAAACATTATCCCGTACAGGGGAATCTATTCACTCAGTAGATTATAACAAGTGACAACTGCATCAAGTTGCCATTGCACAGCACAGTAAGCTAAGAAAAACCCAAAAACCTATCAGTTTGTTACATTATCCTCTCATGTTAGATTTTGGACATTATCACTCAGACTGAATTTTTTTACATTGAGACTTTAAAATTTTTATTTATTTTTGTTGACATATAATAATAGATGTACATTCGTTGGGGGTACATATAGTTTGTTACATTTATATAATTAAATTAGGGTAATTGAGCGCCCGTAACTAAATATTTTTCTTTATGCTAGGAATATTCAAATTTTTCTCTTCTAGCTGTTTTGAAATGTACAATAGATTAATGTTAACATAGTCACCCGACTGGTATTATTGAACACCAGGTCTTTTTTATTCTGTGTAAGTGTGTATTTGTTTTTTGTTTGTTTGAGACAGAGTTTTGCTCTTATCGCCCAGGCTGGAGTGCAATGGCGCGATCTTGGCTCACCGCATCCTCCACCTCCTGGGTTCAAGTGATTCTCCTGCCTGTCTCCCGAGTAGCTGGAATTACATGAATGCGCCATCACACCTGGCTAATTTTGTATTTTTAGTAGAGATGGAGTTTCTCCATGTTGGCCAGACTGGTCTCAAACTCCTGACCTCAGGTGATCCTCCTGCCTCAGCCTCCCAAAGTGCTCTAAGTGTATATTTGTACACATTAATCAACTTTTTTTTATTCCACACTCCTCCCTACCCTTCCTGGCCTCTGGGAACCAATCTACTTTCAACCAATCTACTCTCTATGTTCATGAGATCTACCTTTTTAGCTCCCACATATGAGTGATGAAGTGATATTTGTCCTGTGCTTAGCTTACTTCAGTTAACATAATGACCTCCAGTTCCATCCATTTTGCTGTTAATGACAGAATTTCATTATTTTTCTTTATGGCAGAATAGCACTTCATTGTGTATATATACCACATTGTCTTCATCCATTTATGCATGGATGGGCACTTACGTTGATTCCATGTTTTGGCTATTGTGAATAGTGCTCCAATAAACATGGGAGTGCAGATATCTCTTTGATAATATTGACTTCCTTCCTTTTGGATTTATACCTAATAGAGGAATTGCTGAAAAATGTGGTAATTCTATGTTTAGTTTTCTGAGGAATCTTCATACTGTTTCCCATAATGGTTGTACTAATTTACATTCCCACCTAAAGTATATAAAAGAGTTCCCCTTTCTCCACATCCTCATCAGCATTTGCTATTTTTCATCTTTTTGATGATAGTCATTGTAACTGGGTTGATATGGTAGCTCATTGTGGTTTTGATTTGCATTTCTCTAATGATTATTGATGTTGAGCATTTTTCATATACCTATTTGCCATTTGCATGGTCTTCTTTTGAGAAATGTCTATTCAGATCTTTTGTCATTTTTTTAATGAGTTATTTGGGTTTTTTGTTATTTAGTTGTTTGAGAACCTTATATATTGTTATAATCCTTTGTCAGATGGATAGTTTGCACATTTTTTTTTTTAATTCTGTGGGTTGTTTCTTCACTCTGTTGATTGTTCCCTTTGCTGTGCAGAAGCTTTTTGCTTGGTGTAATTCTATTTTTCCATTTTTGGTTTTGTTGTCTGTCCTTTTCAGATCTTACACAGATATTCTTTGCCCAGACCCAATGTCCTGGGATGTTCTTTCAATATGTCCTTCTAGTAGTTTCATAGCTTCGGTCTTGGATTAGAATCTTCAATCTATTTCAATTTGACTTTTGTAAATGGTGAGAGATACAGATCTAATTTCATCCTTCTGCACATAGTTATACAGTCTTCCCAGCACCAATTATGGAAGAAACTGCTCTTTCCTAATGTAAGTTTTTGGTGCCTTTGTTTAAAATGAGTTGGCTGTAAATGTACAGATTTATATTTGGGTTCTCTACTTCATTCCATTGGTCTATGTGTCCACTTTTATGTCATTTCCATGCTAATTTGGTTACTGTAGTTTCATATTTGAAGTGTGCTGACTCTTGCTTTGTTCTTTTTGCTCAGGACAGCTTTGCCTATCTGGGGTATTTTGCAGTTCCATATAAATTTTAGGATTTTTTTTTTTTTTTGAGATGAAGTCTTGCTCTGTCACCCAGGCTGGGGTGCAGTGGCACGATATCAGCTCACTGCAACCTCTGCCTCCCGGGTTCAAGCGATTCTCCTGCCTCAGTCTCCCCAGTAGCTGGGACTACAGGTGCGTGCCACCACACCGGGTTAATTTTTGCATTTTTAGTAGAGACGGGGGTTTCCCTATGTCGGCCAGGCTGGTCTCGAACTCCTGACCTCATGATTCGTCTCCCTCAGCCTCCCAACGTGAGGGATATTTTTCTTTATTTCTGTGAAGAATGTTATTGGTATTTTGATAGGGAATGCATTGAATCCATAAAGTGCTTTGGGTAGTATTGTCATGTTAGCAATATTAATTCTTCTAATGCACGATCATGGAATAATTTTCCATTCATTGTATCTTCTCAATTCCTTTCATCAGTTTTATAGTTTTCCTTGTGTAGATAGATATTCCACATCTTTGACTAAATCAATTCCTGGGTATTTTATATTCTATGTAGCTGTAGTAAATAAGATTACTTTCTTGATTTTGTTTTCAGGATGTTTACTGTTGGCATACAAAAATGTAACTGGTTTTGTATGTTGATTTTTGTATCCTGAAGCTTTACTGAATTCATTTATCAGTTCTAACAGGTTTTTTTGGTGGAGTCTTTAGCTTTTTCCACATATAAGATCATATCATCTGTATACAAGGCTAATTTGACTTCTTCCTTTCCAATCGAACGCCCTACTTTTCTTCCTCTTACCTAACAGCTTTGGCCAAGACTTCCAGTATTATATTGAATAAAAGCCTCAAATTTAAAAGTACTACTCTCAATTCTAGTTGACCAATCAAATCACATAGAAAACTTCATGAAATTCTGATGCGCTTTCTTCTTCTTCATTGTTTCTGATAAAAATACTGTATGATGGGCCCTAGGCAAGGATATATATTTTTAAAGTTACCACTCTAGTATAACGCATAGCCAGAGTTGAGCACAGTTGACTTAAAATCAGCTATGTAATTACTTTAAACATATTTTAGTTGAAATGAGTATAATTATAAATTATTATTCCTAGAACCCACCACATATTACTAACTATGACCTGTTATGAAATCAGTGTAGCACTATGGTTTTGGTAGAAGGCAAGAGGGTTCAACTTCGTGTAACAAAGTCAGTGTGAATTTCAAAGAAAGTTGAGAATTTATGATGTTTAAAAAGTATAATTCTTTTTAAGGGCACAAATGTCCATTTTATCAATGAAATTCTCTGTAGAGTGATATATGAAAAAATATTATCTTTAAATAAGACCAGTATAGAAACAGGCTCTATTGTTTGATATTGGATTAATTACTTAATTTTTCTGAATCTTGATTTCTTTCTTTATAGATTATAAAAATCTCTTATAGTCATTTTAAAAATTAATTAATTTATGGTAATAAATAAATCATTTAGTAGTTACATAACAAATGCCAGTCTCCCCTAGAGTATTTTCATTATTTGTGTGTGCTTTAGAAAAGTAATTATACAACTGAAAGTCAGACAGATTGATTCTTGAATAAAATATGTATCAATCTTTTTTGAAATCTACCTAGGAATTCTACACTAATTAACTAATTAATCCAAACTAATTAAACCAATAAAATATGGATTGATATTTCAAAAGAGTTTTATAAATGGACCAACTCATAAATACTACATATCAGCCCAAGTCTATCCCTAATAACATTAAAAATATTTTAATTAGCTGTCAGATATTCATAAATATATCAGTAATGCCAGATAAATTGTATTTCCCGTTGTTCAGTACTATTTGATGATGAGCAATATTTCTTTTTCCTTATTAAATGCAATTCAATTTTTTTGACCTTGACCACAAAATAGTATCTCCAATATATGCATATTCACCTTATTTTTTTCTGTGCTTTTTATTTTCAGACCCGGAGTTTCTGTCCATGTCCAATGCATTCAAGATTCTTCTGCAAATCTGAACAGTCGTAAGTGCTGACTAAAAATTTTGATAAAGGGAGATAGGCATATTAATTTCCTAGATATCTAGAATGGCTAGATTATAAAACCCAAAAGGTTATCAGTTCTACAAATTGCCTGGCTGGCTTTGTTCAGATGCTCTGCCTACTCCATTCAACTTTGGAGAGGATTCAGGGATGTGGGACATAGAATATGGCTACCTAGGAAACAGGGAAATTTTGGAGTAACTCCCTCAACACAGGAATATGCTGAGATATAGCTTTTGTGATATAAGCACCTAAATGTCTTGTTCATTCTAACCTCTTGCTCTTGCCAGCTACACTCTCTATGGTTTATGTCTACAAGAACTGCCTTAGCAATTCTTGAATATTGTAATTTCTCTTATTTTTTTTTGTGGTTTTACATACACAGTTCATTCAATAGGGAATGACTTTTCATTTTATTTGCTCCTAGTTGGCTGCTGTTAATTCCTGAAATTCAGCTCTGTTCTGTCTCTTCTGGGAAACCACCCCTACCATCTGCCTGCTGCCTGGGTAGAAAACCTGGCCTGTGTATTCTCATAGCATATCACTCTTACTCTATTTGAAGCACTCCTTTCAGTCTATAGATATTCTTTACTTCCAGGTAAAAATCTGGCTAATGGAAGTATCATTCTATATTTCATAAGCTTATTTTTAAAGATTAAACATGTTAATATGTGTAAAATATACATATATTAATTTTAATATGTATATTTAAGATATAATTATGACCTTCGAATACATTAAGACTAAAACTGCTGCTTTTTAGCAAAATATTTAAATGTGGCCATATATTTATTCAGATCGAATCCAAGATCAATTATCAAAGTAAAAATTGTAAAATCTAATTATCTTGAAAGGACATAATAACTAAAAAATAATAAAAATCATAAATCACCAAATAAATATTATATATATCATTTAAGACACATCAATCAGTACATACAAAAAGTAACAGCAGGCCGGGCGCGGTGGCTCACGCCTGTAATCCCAGCACTTTGGGAGGCCGAGGCGGGTGGATCATGAGGTCAGGAGATCGAGACCATCCTGGCTAACAAGGTGAAACCCCGTCTCTACTAAAAATACAAAAAATTAGCCGGGCGCGGTGGCGGGCGCCTGTAGTCCCAGCTACTCGGGAGGCTGAGGCAGGAGAATGGCGTGAACCCGGGAAGCGGAGCTTGCAGTGAGCCGAGATTGCGCCACTGCAGTCCGCAGTCCGACCTGGGCGACAGAGCGAGACTCCGTCTCAAAAAAAAAAAAAAAAAAAGTAACAGCAGAACTGAACAAAAGAAATTCTTCACCTAGTAATAGACAGTCTAAACAGATATAATTTATGTGAAATGATGAAAACAAATCTCATAAAGATAATATTGTTGTGAAATTTCGTGACTATATCCTTCATGACCTAGAGAGTAGTGATTTAATGGAAAGAAAGTAAATTATATGCATGGTCTATTTAATAAAGTCTGAGAATCAAGACTAAGCACAATCAAAATAAAGGCTTATTACTCAAGCCAAATTAAATTTGATATGAATAAGGAATATTTATCAGAATAGTAATACTGATGCTAGTTTATCTCGTGCTAGAGAGTACACTAATCATTAGGAAAATCTATACTTATAATTTACACAAAAGAAATAATATTTTGACTTCATGATAAAACCTATCTGAAACAATTTTTAGGTAAACTGAAAATTGAAAACTTTCTTACTTGCTTTATAAAATTATTGTTCTGTGACATTGTTTATTTGTTACAGGCAGAACATATTAATGAATGGTTATTATATAAACAAGTATACCAACTAGTATTAAGCGTTTTATGAGTGAAGCAAACATTCAAAAATTTGAAAACATTTAGGTTAATTATTTCTTTTCTATAGACACATTTAACTGTAAGAAAATGGAGCATATCAACTAAAAATCACTTCTTGAGATATATTGCTGCAATTTTTTCACTTTAAACTGTTTTGTATATATTTAGGCTCAACTGTCTTCAAATATATTCCTGAATAATCAAATTTCCTGATAGTGTTATTTCTGACAAACATTTACTGTGTTACACCCTGAAAGTGAAAATGAAAATGCATGACTATCACACAAGACATAGTGAATTAGTTTATTTTCCTCTCAGCATGAATTTTCAGAAATGAGTCAGGTTTTTTCTCTGTAATATATCTATTGATGAATATTTATTTAGTTCAGAAATAAATTTTTATGGTGGAGAATCAATGTGAGTATCACAGTGGCAACATGCAATACAAACAGAACTCCAACCTTCTCTTGTTCATGATTTATATTCCAAAGATAACTGAAATTGCCCATAGTATATTGTAAATCAAACTGATTTTGTATTTCTTTCCCAAGCATTTCTGACTTTCTCTGTCCTCTGTCTCTTGCCTGTTTTTGTTTGTTTTTGCTTGAATAGCTTGTTCATGTGGTCGAGGCAGGAGAAATATTCAGATATATGGAAATGTAGATTGGTGACAGTCTATTCAGGGTTCTTTATTAATTTTATAACAAGTTGCTCTTCCCTGAAATTAAATCTTTTTACCTAGAATATATCGGGTTTTTTTTGCAGAAAATGCCTACCTCATCCAGTCTGTGATCAGCACAGTCTCCCTACTATTTCTTTCCCACAAATTTTCAAACCAGTCTTGTGTCAAAACAATGTTGGAAAGTGCAGTTTCAGAAGTTTCAACTTATTTTAAAAATATGTTTCTAATACACACACATTCATGAAAATGTTTGGGATAAGGGCCTTATCTATTCAAGTTTGTTACTATAGTTGTGTGGAATGGCTTTTGGTTTGGAAGAGTCTGATACAGGAAGAGAGAGGGACAGAGAATAAGTTCCAGTTTGAACACATTGTTTTTAAAACACTGATGGAGTACCAATATGAAATGCTCTGAAAGTAGTTGGAAATGTGTGTCTGAACATCAAGAAAGTGGCCAGACCTAGGAATAAATATTTGAGAGGTAGCTTCATGAAGCTATAGGAAAGTTTAAGTACACACACACACACACACACACACACACACAGACACACACACGGCATGTAATCAAGGATCTCTGTGATTTGACCCATGCCTATTTCTCTCTCTGCTCCTCCCCTCCATTTGATCATTTGAACAGTGAACAGCTTGTATACCCCAAGTATGCCATATTTCTTCAAGATACTTTCTGGAATGTCCCCCATCTTCTCTTTGCCTCCGTAATCCCTAGAAAGTTTCTCCTCATTTAAGATCCTGCTAGGAAGTTTATATGTGTAAGATTTCCTATGGCCCTGAAGTAAGAATGATTCACTGTATTCTTTGTTCCTACGCTTAGGTATTTATCACAGTCATTGCAGTTATTTATTTAATACTCAGCTGCTGTTACGCTCTTTTAAGACAAGTTATACCTTATTTATCCAGAACATAAACATATTTTAAAAATATTTGCTGAATAAATGAATAAGTCATCAATTTAATAGGTTTTTGACTTACCCACTAGAGCATATTTCCTTTTGCAATAATTCACAAAATTTATCAACTAAACAGGGTACCAGTTATTCCAACGATTCTTATTTGAAAACAGATTTGATTTTATCAAAGTTAGTGTTTACATCAGGGGTAGAAAAATTTCAGACTAATTCATATAATAACTCAGCTGTAGCTAACATATCTTCAAATTTTTCTCTAAGTGTCCATCAAGACTAACATTTGACATAGCAATGGCCAAGAGATAATGTTGTCATAGATGTATATGAGCTGTTACTTCTAAAGTTGTTTTTGATGATATTCATGTATGCTTGAATTTAATTGCTACAGATTCATGGAGTTGTTGGTTTTTTGTTGTTGTTGTTGTTGTTTGTTTTGAGATGAAGTCTCGCTCTGTCACCCAGGCTGGAGTGCAGTGGCGCGATCTCAGCTCACTGCAAGCTCCACCTCCTGGGTTCACGCCATTCTCCTGCCTCAGCCTCCCGAGTAGCTGGGACTACAGGCGCCCGCCACCATGCCCGACTAATTTTTTTTGTTGTTTTAGTAGAGACGGGGTTTCACCGTGTTAGCAGGATGGTCTGTATCTCCTGACCTCGTGATCCGCCCTCCTCGGCCTCCCAAAGTGCTGGGATTACAGGCGTGAGCCACCGCACCCAGCTGAGTTGTTGGGTTTTTTTTTATTTTTTGTTTTTGACATTTACTTAGTGCCTATTGTATGCCAGGCACTGTGCTATGTGCTTCTGATCCCTATCTGGTGATTTCTAGAGGACATATGAAGAATTAAAATCTCATTATGTATTAACAACAACAAACAAAATATTTTAAAATAATTTTACAACCAATATCATCTTACAGCTGAAAACATAAATATCAGTAAGCTTGATGGATTATATCAGCCTTAATATCTTTATTTATTATGAAATTTCCGTTCAGATTGTAAAATATACTTACATTGATATTAGGCCACTGTCTAGTTTTTCCACTTAGAGTATGTTAAACAGAAATAAATATACCAAAAAAGTGCCCATTGTCTTTGAATAAAACTCTTATTTTCTCTTAAACATGATCAATTAGAATCAAATGTTTTAGGTCGGGCATCGTGGCTCATGCCTGTAATCCAAGCACCCTGGGAGGCTGAGGCGGGCGGATTATTTCAGGCCAGGAGTTCGAGACCAGCCTGGCCAACATGGCAAAACCTCCTCTCTACTAAAAATACAAAAATTTGCTGGGCATTGTGGTGCACACCTGTAATCCCAGCAACTTGGGAGGCTGAGGAGAATTGCTTGAACTCAGGAGGCAGAGGTTGCAATGAGCCAAGATTGCCCCACTGCACTCCAGCCTGAGCGACAGAACAAGACTCTGTTTCAAAAAAAAAAAAAAAAAAAAAGCAAAAGAAAAAAATGTTTAATAATTAGGAAATCCACAGAAAATAATTCTCATCCAAAGTCTATCTCCCATGATGTTGTATATACTTAGAAAACATCTAGCATGTTTAAAGTTGTGTTCGTTTGAATAAACTGCAATCTAGTCATACGGGTGTGTTTTTCTAATTTAATTGAATGAACATAGTACAAATCAAGAGATTATGTTTTTGTTTATAGACAATTTTGGAAATGGAAGATTTTTCCAATGCTTTTATTGTTTAACCTTGGATTTGATTTTGTAGACTGAAACATTGAAGGGTATATGTGACCCCAAAACCCAGTTCAAGAAGATGGCAATGGAACTCAACATTTTTAGGCAATGTGAAATTTATCATTATTTTTCTCCACTCTCTCCAGTCTTGCTGCCAAGAAATTCTAGGGAGTCCATGACCTCAACAGCAAAGGAGCCACAGGAACCCCAATTCAGAGGAAAGCTAGTCTTCCTCTTAAATTGGTGGAGCTGTCATTCCAAGAGTGTGGGGCAACTCCCCTCATCCATTTGCTTTTTTTCTCACTCTGTTCTCCTGCTGCTTGGCCTAAGATATGTATGCATTTTCTGAGTCATAGCAGCAGAGCAAGATAACTAAAGCACACATTTTTCTACCCAGAGGGCCAAAAGAAACCAGCAAATATCAGGGAGATTATACAGAGATAAAGAAGATGGGAAAAAACTAACCCCAAAATTTGTCTGTGAGCTCCCTGGCTCATTCTAAATGGAGCATGTGTAGATCTGATGCTGATCAACATACCAAAGGATTTGAAATCTGTATTAAAAGGGATAAACTTCAGATGCCAGTATGGTCATTTTATTAATTTCCTATGTGCTTTAACGAAGTATAACAAAGTAGTTTAAAAAGACATAAAGTTATTGTCTTATATTTCTGGAAGTGAGAAGTCGTAAGAAGCTAAAATAAATGGGTTGGCATAGTTGGTTCCCTCTAGAGGACCAGGGGAGATTCATCTTTTGCCTATTCCAACTTCTTGCCACCCTTTCTTGGCATTCCTTGGCCATAACATATCACTCCAGTCACTTGCTTTTCTCATTGCATCTCTTATTGCTGTAGTCCAAATTCCCTCTGCCTCCCACTTATAAGGAGAGTTGTGGTTGCATTTAGTGCCCATCTGAATAATCAAGATCTCCCTTTCTTGAAGTCTTTAACTTTACCACATCTGCCAGATCCCCTCTGCCATATGGAGTAACATCACAGGTTCTAGGAATTAGGACATGGATATATATGAGGGACATTATTCACCCTGGCAAAATCGCTGAGTTACACATTTGAGAGAGACAGATCCTAGGAGCAGAGAAAATACTTTGAAAATGGAACAAGCGTTAGCACCACAGCCCACAGGAAGTGAGTTGGAACTTGTGGGCTTCACCTAACAAAAAATATAAATATCCTCTATAAGATTTAATTAAGACTTGTATTCCCCTAAAATAGTATTCAAAATTTCCAGGATAGAATAAAAAACTCCTCTGGATAGAAAGAGTCAGGAAATTCTCATGGGAAAAGATAACGAAGTGGGAGATGACACAGATGTAAGAATTATCTGAAAAAGACTTAAAAGTAGCAATTGTAAAAAGAAGATGGACTCTTGAATGGAAGATTAAAAACACTTAGCAGTAAAATAAAACAAAGGAAAACCAAATAAAAATTTGAGAACTGAAAAATGCAATAATAAGATAAAACAACCTCACAAGACGGGCACAGTAGCACAATTGAGATATCAAAGGATCAGCAAACTTGGCAATTGAACTTGAAAATCAAACAAAGTGAACAAACTGCAAAGCAAAGCACTATTGAGAAAAAAATGATTAGGGTCTCAGGGACATATGGGAAAACAACATAAAATCTAACATTTGTGTCATCACAATCTAGAAGAGGAGAAAAATGTCAGTGCTGAGAAGTATTTGAAGATGTAATGGCTGAAAACATGGTGAAAGACATAAACCTATAACCACTCAGATATACCCAAATGTGGAACCAACAGAAATCCTAACTGAAATAAATTATTATGTAACTGCTAAATACTATGACAAGGAAGAGTCTTTAAAACATCTAGAGGACTTAATACGTTATCTGTAGAGCAATGGTTTTCAACAGGGGGCAATTGTTCCCTCAAAGGTAATGTTTGGGCACGTGTTTGTTATGACTTAGGAGGAGAATGGACAGAGGGCAGAGACATCATTTAACATCCTACAATGCACAGAACACCCCCAAATCCCCCCCCAACCACATATATACAACAAAGAATTATCTTGTCCAAAATGTAAAAAGTGTAAAACTAGGAAATACAAGAACAACAATTTGAGTTACTGGATTTTCCATCAGAAACTGGGGGCCAGGAGGAAGTGGTATGATATTAGTAAAGTGTTTTAAAAAAAAAAAACCAATCCAGATTTTTATATCTAATGAAAACAAATTTCATGAATGAGATGAAGACAAAGAAAATGAAGGGGTTTTTTGTTTGTTTTGTTTTGTTTTTTTTTGTCAGCAGATGTGCTTTAATTGCTACAGAAAGCTTTGTATATACAATAGAAATGACTCCAGAAGGAAACTTGGAAATTAGGAACCAAGAAAGAACAACCAAAATGATATATATCTGAGTCAATATAATGGATTTTTCTTCTCTTAAGATATTTAAAATATGTTTGAGTGTTAAAAGCAAAAAAAATTATACTTTAATGGGTTTTTATTGTTTATAGAAATAATACAGAAAATAATATAATATAAAGGGTACAAGGTAAGGGGAACTAGATGGTGATTCAGAATTCTACATAAACTATATTTGAAGGGGAAAATACTGACTCTAATTGGAATATGAAAAACTAATTATTTGCAGTTTAATCCATAATGATACAAATTTTAAAACCTATATAAAGAGATACAGTAAAAAACAAAATAGAAAATTAAACTGTAATTCTAAACATTGTTCAAATAACATAAAAAGAAGGAAGTCCAGACATGGTAGCTCAATCCCAGCACTTTGGGAAGCAGAGGCGGGAGGATTGCTTGAGCCCAGGAGTTTGGGGCCAGCCTGAGAGACATGGTGAGACCTTATCTCAACAAAAAAATTAAAAATTTATCTGGGCAAGGTGATGTGCACCTGTGGTCCCAGCTACCCAGGGGGCTGAGGTAAGAGGATTGCTGGAGCCGGGGAGGTCAACACTGCGGTGAGTGAACCATGATTGCACCACTGCACTCTAGCCTGGGCAACAGAGTGAGACCCTGCCTCAAATTAAAAAAAAAAAAAAAAAAAAGGAAAGAAAGAGGGAGAAAGGAATAGGAATAAAAGAAAACAAACAGAAACAAATAATAAAATTATTAACCAAACAAATCATATGAATGATTATAATAAATATGTATCTTTTAAACCTACAAATTAAAACACTATTAGAATGGATAATAAAATGACATTGTGCCCAAGCACTCACATTTTTTTTGAGTGCTAGGCTGTGTAAACTATAACTAGATAAGCCTTTTGTAAGATGTAAATTCAAAGTGTGCATAATGAAATGTACTTATAGAAAATTAAATTGTCAGTTGTGACTTGATTGAACAGTATTTTAATGAGAATTTATTATCAAAATGATCTCAAGGATTCTATATAAGTCATGAGATGGCAAACATATTCTTTAAAGCTCTTAATATGATAATAAAAATGTATCAAGTGCTTATTATACCCAGAGTAATAGAATAACATTAGGCTAGTTATATACACGATACAATAGAAGTTTATTTTTGTGAACAATACATAGTCCATAGCACATTGAAGCTTATGTTAAGCTTTATGGTTCATTTAAAAGAATTGGTATAAATTTATTCTTTTAAAATCAATATAAAAGTTTATTGAACATAAACCATTTGGTCAGAAATACAACCACATTAATCTTCGAGGAAAACACTGTGCTTTTCATGGCAATTCACATAATGACCTATTTTCCAGGAAGGTTTTATTTTTTATTTTTTGGTGAAAAGTGATGCTGCCTATATGGAAATGTGCCTGGCAGAAATGTTTTTCCCTCAGGTAACTTGATCCAAACAGTGCTGTAAATATTTCACAATTATTAGTGAAATTGTGAAATGAGAAAACTCAAAATGCAAATAGAGATTTTTGCCTCAAAACATTGCATTATTTGCTAGTGGATACAAGCTGGCACTAGTACTGGGACAGCAGGCAATACCCAAAATAGCAACAAGAGGCTCTTAGGCATCAATTTTCTCCCAAATACTAAACAACTCTCTGTGTGTGTTTGTGTGCATGATGCTGTCAGGAGACATGAGGTAAAATAATTCTATGGGAACTGAAAATATTTGTGTGAGTCCTTAAAAAATTATATATCAGCTTCATATAGTGGAATCAGATGAAGAAAATTTTAATTTGGTGAAGTATTTAAGGAAGACACTTAAGGAATTTTTTTCACTGTATTAAAGGGAACTTACTCTCTTTCTTCATTTTTACCTATCTGTAGGGCAATAAGTCTAACAAAAACAGATTATTGAAAGTTAGAAGTTAGAATGAGGCCATGGCTCCCCTTTATTTGGCTTAGGATTCTGGAAAGGTCAGAAATTACAAGAGTAGAGATTTCAAGTCTTTTAAATGTACTTATGAAATATTTATTTCTTGTCACCCTCCACCATTACACCTTCAACCCCTCGTCCTCTCAACACTACATGCCACTTTCCACAAAGTCATTGTGGATTGTTATTTCCTGAATTGTGGGGAATATAAATGTAATAGTAAAATATTTTAATGGTTGTCAGTAACTTAAATGTGATCTCCTTGTTTTCTAGTTGTCCCTGATGATGCTGGGAGTGGAGTCAGTTGTAAAGAGTAAATGCAATGAGCAAAATTGGTCCCTTTTAGATAACTTGTGTATAAAGAAACAACAGCAAAAAAAAAAAAAAAAAAAAAACAGTTTCAATCAGGGCCTTGCATGTTGTGATCCATATATACAAATGTATAGATTTAACAGTTTAAGAAAGTGGACTCCTTTATTTTTGCCTTCCTACACTACTTAATCTCTCTCCGAAAGTGCAGAATTGTTTTCCTGGAAAACAAGGGATTTTATTGCAGTTCCAATATGACCTAGATGTGTCTAGGAAAAAAAAGATTTAGAAAACCGTTTATGCTATTAATAGGACTGAAAATCTTTCTCAAGGATTAATTCAATACTCAGGAGTCCAAATTCAGGACTAGTTTAACCTCCAAATAATACATAGGGTCTCCTTGGATGATTAAATTCAAACATCTAAAGCAGATCACTTCTTAAGAGAGGTAAGTTCTGAGGGAATCCTTGAGATAAACTCTTCAGAAATGTTGAGCCCTTTCTGTCTTCGAAGCTTGTGGTTGCTGTGTTCTCCCCAAAAAATCAGTGAACCTTATGCAATTCCACTTTCTTTATGAGAACCTTGGCAATATAAAGTAAACTGGTAGTAATATAAAATAATGGGGAAAATAGTAGTTTAGACTAAGTAATATAATGTGAAATGCATTTCAATGTACTATGTAGAGAGAAATAGAAGACCATCAGTGTTATAGAAAATAATAATAAATAAATCCTTGTGTCACTGATGAATCTTGAACAGTTTTTAAGCAGTATTGCCGTTGATATTAGATGTTCCCTTAGAAACCTAGCTGCATGATCTCGTTTGAAAGTCGGAGCTAAACATTGAAAACACATGAACATAAGGATGGGAACAATAGACAATGGGGACTTACTCAGTGGGAAAAGGAAGGAGGGGAGCTAGGTTTGAAAAAGTAACTATCAGGTACAATGCTCATTACCTGGGTGAGGGGGTGATGGGATTTTTTTTGTTTGTTTTTTGACTGAGTCTCGCACTGTCACCCAGGCTCGAATGCAGTGGCACAATCTCGGCTCACTGCAGTAACTTCCCCCTCCCGGGTTCCAGTGATTCTCGTGCCTCAGCCTCCCAAGTAGCTGGGATTACAGGCGCCCACCACCACGCTAGCTACTTTTTTGTAATTTTAGTAGAGATGGGGTTTCACTATGTTGGCCAGGCTTGTCTCAAACTCCTGACCTCATGATCCGCCCACCTCGGCTTCCCAAAGTGCTGGGATTGCAGGCATGAGCCACTACCCCCGGCCGATGAGATCATTCTTACACCAAACCTCAGCAACACACAATTTACCCGTGTAACAAACCTGCACATGGATCCCTTGGACCTAAAAAAAGAAGTTTGAAAAAAAAAAAAAGAATTAAATTATGTCATAATCAAAATATATGTAAATTGAGAAGTAGAATTTTAACTTTGATAAATGAAAGTCAAATTTTCCCAAACATAATTTGTTGTATGTGCCTTTAAGAATTAAACTTGAATTCTAGCATACCAGTCACTAAAACATTCATTTTAATTAAAAAAAAAGCATTCTTGCAAATAATTTTATGAGATTGCATACTTGTTATGTGTGAAATGCAGAAGCATGTCAGAAAAACAAAATGCTAATTTATTATTACCATTAACAGAGTAAGCACATAAACATAATAGTATTTGTGAAAGAAACTCTGTTGAATTTCTGGTATTTTTTTCCCTTATAACAACGGGATAAATATAATTGTTGATTTTATTATTTTTTCAGCATCTTCTATGGATTTAACAATGCAGCATTTCTGGTTCTCTTCTCGTTATTCTTTTCAAACCCCATTAAAATTGTAGTCATATACAGCAGAGTTACTCTAGAAGGAAAACTGGAAATTATCCAGTTGAATCGTTTGCATGGTATATCATTCCATACACTAAATGCAAAATGTTGAAAAGCAAAGCAACATGCCATACAGGTCTCTGTTTAATTAATTAATTCTACTGTTGTACTATTTATTATGAATTGTCAAATTTTAAGACCTTTGAAACATTTATTTACATGTAAGGGAAACCCTCTAATGAAACTTAGTAATCATTTCATCTCTCTAAATGAAATTTCTTAGAGAATCGAACGCCAAGACACAGAAACTTTCACATGGAATTTAGAAAGACTGAAAAAAGGAAGCAAAGACATATTTTTATGGCATAAACCTTTATTTTATTGTGCTTAGTTTTTGTAGCACAAGGGGAAGTATTGTCAGCATGCATATTAAAAGGTGAATATTTAACACTTGTAAAGTGACTCAAAAAGATTGCATCTAGTCGTGCAGGATTGGACTGGGTGCAATTGTTTACTTATTATTGTAGCAACCATGTCATATTCATCTTTGAATCAGAAGGGCTTACTGACAGTATTCAGCATAATTCAGGTTCTCATGAAGAAGCTATTAAATTTAAATCAGTTATAATTGAAACCATTTTATGACCACAAACAAGCCTGATTTATAAATATGATCATAATACTCCCTAGAATTGTTATAATTATGAACTTGTTTTTCTGTAGATTTTAAGTACGATTAAAATAAGGTAGGAAAAATAATTCCTGAAATGACTGAAATTAATTGCTTACATAATACAGAATCTCCTGTAAATCAAGTTCCCATTTATGGCCTCACAGGATAGAGTGAAACAGAATAATTTAGATAAAAAATAGTATAACACAGTGAGTACTGGCTAAAATTAGCTTATAATAAAGATAAATAACGATTTAATTACAAAACAAAATTAAAAATAAAGTTAGACGGAAAACAAATATATGAACTATTTAAACTAATATGATTGCTATGAGTCAAGGCAAAAAGGGAGAAAACAAAGCACGATATACAATTTCCATTCTATAAGAAAAAGCAGTGCCTCAGTTTTGATAAAAGGCGTTTTCCTGAAATTAAGTGTTTAAGGAAGTTAGATTACACAAAGGTTACACAAAGGCCTTCAGCAAAATCATGAATATTGCTCTCAGCAATAATTTGATGCTACTAGAGAAATATGGTCCTTATCACTGTGGGAGAGTCAATTTTATTAGCCCTGAAGCCTAGGTAAGAAATTGCATTATTAGTGATGTGAGTATTTATAACTGAGGCCTCATGTATTTTTACATATCCTTTTCATCAATATATTTGTTCAATAATTATTTGTTGAGTTACTATTCTAAGACTGACATGCTAAGCACTAAAATCACCTTAGTTTTATAGTTTAGAGTAAAAAGCTTTCCTGATCTTAGCAAGGAGAGATAAATTCTCACTATAGATTTTTACCTGACACTGGTTTTTAGCTCTTTTCACCAGTTTTTAAACTCAATGTATGGAAAAAAATGTTTACCTTTTAATTAACCAAAATAGCACTCAGAAATAGTTGAAAAACCCTAGGATCTTGGATGGTTTTTCATTTTTCCTTGTACCATTTCAAGTAATTGGCATTAATACAAATGCTTAGTGCTGAGTACATTGTGCTGCTGGGCAAATTACTGAGTCATGGCTACATATTACAACTTCTCAAAATTGAATTCAAATAGTTATTTCTGTAGGAAATCAATATTGTTTATATGGTTATTAAGCTTCTTTTTAGTAGTAAAAATGTCACTTAAGTATACTCTAATGGCTATACACATATGTATATAATACCTAATACTTGTACATAAGTTGAAGGTTTTCAATGTGTCAAGGGCACCTGCTAGCAGATAAAATAAGTCCAGGCTGTAGAAAAACATATGCCTATTAGAAATAAATCAATATTGTGGGTATTAGCAGTGCTTTCCCCTTGCTGACTGTCGGGCACTAAAGCAAGATCAGGGCTCCTAAATTAGAATAATTAGAGAACAAGGACAATAAAGCCATTTCTTACTTATGAAAAGCTTGGTTTCACAAAGGCATATTTTTTCAGTCTTCCCAAACAAATAACTCTAGATTTTTCAGGCTATGGCCCCTGAGAAGCATTAATGGAGTCACAAAAGGCAGCTCTATTTAAAAAAATGCCAATTGGGCTAACAGCTTGTTCTGTGTCATGTGAAGCAGTGCTTTGTGAATTGAATTTTTCTTTTGATACTTTTGAGCTCTGAGTCCATCACTTAAAGAGGATCATCTATTACTTAAACAGATGCAATTTCCATTTTCTGTCTTAGCCTAGAAATCAATTGAAAGTGATGGAAGGAACAGGAAATTCTATTTGTGCCTTAAAAAAGCCTCTCATCAGTTTCGTCAACAATAGAGACAGGCTTCACTATGCTGAGCTTAGCCTACCTTGCCAATATCTCCCACAAGCCCCAACTCAAATCATTAATTACAGAGTGATCTCTTTGTTGTCTTCCATATAAGGGAGGTAGCTTCCCATCCTGTATTTTTGCTTGTACTATCTCATTACTCTTGGCTGACATTCAGCCTGTTGAGGCAACCTGATGTAGTCCTTAAGAGCTTCAGCCTGGAACCAGACAGCCTGATTAAAATCCTAGGGCTGCCACTTACTAATCTTTGGCAGTTATTCACTTTGAGTCTCTGTTTCCACATCTGTAAAGTGGAGATAATAGTATTACCTTTTCAAAAAATTGATGTGAAAATTAAATAATATGTATAAAAATTTTAGAATAAGACCTGGAACAGAGTAAGTGCTATATAGCTGTTTATTCCATTATCTATTCAAATTCTTTTACATCTTTCAAGTGCCAATTTGGCTGTATAATCTTGAATTATTATTGTAGTCCTTTCAGATTTTGACTTCTTCCATATTTCTAAAGTAATTTGGCAATATCACATACTTGTATTCAGTGATTTTCTAATTGCTTCATACATTTTATCAATATTTATGCAAGGAAATTATTAGCACTTAAAGTATATAAAATTTATTTTCTCTCTATGCATACTAAAATTAGTCAATTTCTAGGAAAATATTGAACTCTCATTTTTATTAATATATAAAATTCAGTTTATAAAACTGAAGATTACATTCTATTAGTAACAACCAGAAAATATTCAACTTCACTCATTCTTTTCTTTTGAAACTCCAATATGCTTTGAAGTCAATTCAGGGAACTTTTATTGCACACATTATATTTTGAATTTAAGAATTCCATTTATTAAAGTTTATATTTTGGGGCTTGTATTCTCCATGGACTCACTCAGTATGTACATAATTTTCTTCAAATCAGTGGATATGTTATTAGTAGCTTTTTAAACATTTTTATGCTAATTTACACTTATTCTGAATCTACTTTTATTGACTCTTATTATACCTGCATATGGGGCATGTCATTATGCTATTTGAAATCTTAGTAAAACATTAAGAATATTATCTTGTTCATTAATACACTGATATTTACTCTCTTCATTTAAAGAAAACTGTGACTTTTGGTTTCTTAGAATACAGACAGCTGGTATCTTGCATTCCTAAACAAAACAAAACTGGCCAACAAACTGAGACAATCTGCACTCTCACAATTTTTTCTACAATCAATCACAGATTTGAGGTCATAGGACAAACAACTAATCTGAAGTCTAAGGAAGGCAACTGTGTGCAATGAGAGATGGAACATAAGCAGTTACATACGTAGGCAGATGCACCCAGGCAATAGTAAATGTAATTCAAGGAAAAATTTAATGAATTGATAAATGTAGAGTGTGGGCCAGCAAGAGAAACAAATATATTTTTCCACAGGGCACTGCAAAATTCTATTGCACTTGAGAAAAAGAAACAGAAAAACAACCTCTGTGTATTTGGGAAAAGGGCAGGATTGTATGCTGAGCCCAGAACTATAGCTGGGCAATGGGAAAAAACACTGAAATAAACACATCTCTGAAGCCTAGAAATATCATGTCTGCCTAAGACTGAAACTTATCTACAACAACAAAGATTACTCATCCCACCACTAGGCTAAAAACATTAAATAATAAGGTAACAAGGGAATACTGAAGGGATATTTACTGTGGCACATAGAGATTGTTTTCTAATGTGCACCACAAAACAAAACCTAGAGCTTAGTGTAGAGTGAACATTGAGAAAAATCCTCTGCCAAACTAAAATTCGCTACAAATGAAATATATCACAAAAGTACTTTGAGGTTTTGCATGCAGCGCAGAAAGCCAAACCAGCAACAAATCCTAAACATAGCCCAATCCCTGACTTGATTGAGCCAAACTCTGACACAAGAAGCCTAGCAGAAAAAAAAAAAAAAAGTGTGCCAATTTTATGGTATAAAATATAATTTCCTAAGTTCTACAAAAAAAAATTCAACATCTTTTTTAACAAAGTATGTCATACATAAGATATCCAGTTCTCAACAAAATTATGAATAATAGAAAAAATCTTGAAACAAAAGAAAAACACAGTTTTAAGAGACAAAGCAACCAACATAACTAAACTCAGATATAACATAAATGTTGGAACTATCAGAATGGAAATTTTCAAATAACTATAATTGAATTGTTAAAGATTATAATGTTACAAGTTAATGACATGCAAATCCAGATGGATAACATTAGGACAGAGATGAAAAATAGAAAGAAGAATCAAAGGGAAATGCTACACATAAAACAAATAGAGACAAAAAATACATTCAATGGGCTTATCAGTATATTCAAAATAGCCAAAGGAAGAATCAGTGAACTTGAAATAGAAAATATGAATTTTCCAAACTAACACACACAAAAAATAAAGCACTGAACCAAGCCTCACCCATGATCTCAGGAGCAATTTAAAAGGGTCTAACATAAATTAAATTGGAAACCAAGAAGAAAGTGAGATACAATGGAGCATACAAAAATAAAATGTTTTAAGAAACACTGGCAAACAATACTCAACAATTAATGACAAACGCAAAACCATGAATCCAAGAAGCTCAGAGAAATTAAGCAGTATAAATGTCAAGTTCACAGACAAAATAAATATCAAACTACTGAAAACTACAGACAAAAAGAATATCTTGACAGCAATCACACACACACACACACACACACACACACACACACACACACACACGCCCACCAACCCCATAGGACCAGTGATAAGAATTACATATGACTTCATGACTTCTTCTCCAAAGCTATACAATTCTAAAGACTATGAAATAGAATATTTAAAGTACTGGAAGAAAAAAGTCCTATCAACCCAAAATTCTACACACATCATTTTCTTTTTCAAAATTGAAGGCTACAGTATAAAGTTACTCGGCAAAACATTTACCAGAATAGTTAATTGCCACCATACCTGAACTAAAATCAGTGTTAAAGAAGTTTTTTAAGCAGAGGTATTCTACCAGACAAAATCTTGTATCTACACAAAGAAGTAAAGTATGCTTAAAATGGGATACATGAAGATAAAAATAAAATTTATTTTTTCTTATTTTCAGTAACTATAAAGGATGACTGACTGCTTAGAGTAAGAGAGAAAATTAGAGGAACAATGTATTGTGAGATTATAGAATACCTAAAAGTAAAATATGTGACAAAATAGAAAAAAAGGATGAGAAGGTGGATTAAGGAAGAGATTTCTCTATATTCTTATGTATGAAACAGTATAATATTACTTGAAGGTATATTATGAATAGTGAAAGATGTATACTGCAAACCACAGAACAACTATAAGTAATTTTTAAAAGGGATATAAAAAACATCAGTAGAAGAGATATAGCAAAAGTTATTTTAAAAATCTTGATGGGGCAGGGTATGGTGGCTCATGCCTGTAATCCTAGCATTTTGGGAGGACAAGGAAAGAGGATCACTTGCGCTTAGGAGTTTGAGACCAGCCTAGGCAACATAGTGAGACCCTGTCTCTACAAAAAATAAAAATAAAAAAATAAAAAAAATTAGTCACGCACGGTGGCATGCACCTGTAGTCCCAGCTACCAGGGAGGCTGAGGAAGGAGGATTGCTTGAGCCCACGAGGTCAAGGCTGCAATGAGTCATGATCACATGAGTGTACTCCAGCCTGAGTAACAGAGACCTTGTCTCAAAATAACAAAATAAAACACAGCAAAAACTCAATGAACTAGTAGAAGTATTCAGAGATAAAAAAAAGAAGAAATTATAGAATTTAAAAATAGATGATAGCAAGTAAAATGGTAGATTTTAGCCAAACTATATCAATAATCACATTAAAAGTAAGTGGTCTATAGATACCATTTATAAGATAAAGACTGAAAAGAAAGTGTGACCCAACTAAATTATTTGTAAAGAAAACCACTTTAAATATAAAGGCATGTACGATAAAGATATACCATGCAAACTCTAATCAAAAGAAAGCTGGAATAGCTATATTAATTTAAAAAAGCGAACTTCAAAACTAGAAATACTAACTAAGAAGACAAAACAACCCAGAATGTAGTAAGTGTTACAAAAGAGAATACATATCTGTGAAATAACACCTGGTAGAAATAATAGAATTATCAGGAAAAAAAATCCCTGCAAGTAAGCAGGGAGAGTCCAACACTTCTCTCAGTAGATGATACAGCAAGCAGACAAAAAATAAGTCATATTTTACCTGAACAACCTATCAGCGAACTTGGCCTAATTAACAGTTATAGAACACTGCATTTCAAATCATTAGAACCCCCATTTTTTTTTTCAAATAAAAAAGAGAACATATTCTAAACCGTAAAATAAGTCTTAACACATCTAGAAGAATTGATATCATACAATGGTATGGTCTTTGTTCATAATGAAACAAAACAAAAGCAAGAAAATCCCTAAGAAATTGAAAATCAAACAACACACTTCTAAATAATCTATGGGTTTAAGATGCAGTCTTTAAGAAGTCTTAGAAGATAGTTTATGTACAGCATTCAAGTTTTATTTTGAAAAATAGAACTTCAAATCAGTAATCTAAGTTCCCCTCAAAATAAAAAGAGAAAAAATGCAAAAATAACACTAATGTATTATATAGTTTCAAATATCTGAAAGGAGGATATTGAACATTCCCAACACAAAGAAATGATTAACGTTTCAGATGATGGATGCTATTACCCTGATCTGACCACTGTATGCTATATGTATTGAAGCATCACTATGTACTCCATGAATATGCATAATTATTACTGTCAATTAAAAATAAAATAATTAAAAATGAGAAAATAAAAGCCAACAGAAGATAAGAAACAAACAGTAAAATTTAATGAAATGTAAAATCAACAAAAATTTAGAAAAAATAATAAAATCTACAGCTGGATTTTTGGGAAAAAGAATCAGTAAAATGAATAAATCTCCATCCATCCCAACCAAGGAAAAAGAGAGATGAGTAGGAATCTAGTAAAAGAAATTAATAATTATAAATCATAAATCTCAGGAAAAAACCCAAGTCATTACTACTGGCCCTATACACATTAAAATAGTTCCAAAATACTATGAACAAATCTAGCTCCATAATTTCAAAATTAAGATAAAATAAATTTCTTGAATAATATAAATTAATAAAACTCACTGAAGAAAAAATAGAATACCCAAAAAAATTGCATGAATACATTGAATTCACAGTTTGAATGCTTTCAGGAAAATACAAATAGAATAAACTGATGGCCTAAGTGGTATTATTGGCAAATTCTACCAAACTTTTCAAGGAAAAAATAATGTGAGCTCTACAAAATCTTTTACAGAGAATTGAGTTGTCTTGAGTATCAGTAAAAATGTAGGGTGAATACTCCCACTTTGTACTTCTGCAAAATTGTTTTTCTATTGAAGCTCTTTGATCTTTCCACATAAATTTGAGAATCAGCTTTTTTGTATGTCTAAAAATCTTGATGGGATTTAGATTGGAGTTGCATTTAAATGTACAGATCATTTAGGAGAGTATTGACATTTTAATAATTATAAAGGAGCTTCAATAGATAAACAGTTTCGCAGAAGTACAAAGTGGGAGAATTCACCCTACATGAATTCAAGACTTACTATAAAGTTCAGGATTATAGCTCCACATTGTCCATTGTCCAATGGTTAAATACACTTTGCTTTATAATACATTTTTATTCATACTCAAGATACCTCTACCTTTTTTTGCCAAAAAGGTTTTTTATAACCACTGTGGCTTTGTGCTCGTGCATAAAAATCTGCTTTTTATCATGGAAAGTCTGATTTCAATGATGTGAATTGTAACACCATAGAAAGGTAGAATTTGTTATTTGTATTAGATTAGAAGAAATAATTTAGAGATAACCCTGCCCCCTACTACATGTTTTTGATAAGTTTTAAAATACTATTTCTGTCTTTTTAGAAAATTTCAAAGTTAGGAAGTTTTAGCTGAAATAGTAAAACACTGCAGGAGTGAATAAATTAACTCTAAGATAAAACTGCTAATGATGTAAGTTAAATTTTATAACACTGGTTAGATATAATGATTGAGTAATATATTTTATGTACCTAGATTTTCATCAATAAGTATTTGTGACCAGATCATTATTCAAATAGATTCAGAAGAGCACAGTAACATTTATAGATATTTGTGTCACTGTTCTTGAAATAAAGAAATATCTTTCAATAATAGCTTTATCACAAACTATGTTTGTAAAGTTGGTCATTACTAAATTATATGCTGACTGAGTCATCTTAGCTGAAAATGAGTTATCTAATAGGTAACCTGTAACTTTATTTTGGTTTTTATTTCTCTGATTCTATAACCCATGTATATGTAGACGATACTACATCATATAGACATATACTATTAGGGAATTTACAATCCAAGACATGCAGCCATTAGTGTTATACCAAAATTCTTTTTCCTTTTTCATCATGTAGGTGATCAACATCTTCCCTCTCTACTCTTATTTCCAATTTACTTTGAAGCATATTTTATGCCTCTTGATTATGCCAGAACACTCCTTGAATTTCTAAATACATACTTCTCAGTAGCTTCCCAATGCTCAGAGTAAAGTCCAAACTCCTCCCTGTAGCTTAAGCTGAACTCTGTCTAAAACTTTGATGTGTTTTATAACATTTTCTTACATCATTATGCTTCTGTTACTCTAGAATTTTTTCTTCAAATATTTTGTGGTGTTCATTTTCAATTTGAACTTGCTGATCCATTTCTTTTCCTTCTGTGTCATCTACTAAGCAGTGTGACCTTATAGAGAACAATAGGTGAGTTCAAAAGGACACAAGAACAGAAGATCTGAAGGCAATGAGAGATAAGGTAGGTGATTTCTTATTTTACCCCTCCCTGCTTTGACATAGAGCTTCTGGTTGTTTACTGGGCCTTTCCAAGTTGTAGCTCTTGCCATGTGGCTCCCCTACTTTAAGATTTAAGATTCCAGGTCTCACTGGACTCCAGGAACTGTATTTCTTTTGTTTATTCTTCTTGCCTAAGGGAGGTATCAACTTTTCCACTCTCGCTTGCTTTTGGGTGACTCCTCTGTAACTACTCTCTTCGTTGAAGCCATCTTAGTGGAATTTTCTTTTCTGCCAGGATCTTCACTGATATGATGTCAAATTTTTCTATGCCTCAAGAAATCTGTTTTGTTCTTCCCCTTAGATAATTTATCTCTGGATCCTCAATTGATTGAACTTTTTTTTATTTAAGTCATTATCTCAAAATCATCTTCTCAAAAAAAACTCTTTTATGTCTATTACAAAATACCTCCCATTATTAGTTTCTATAGAATCATACTTGTTACTTTCTTCTTAACCCTTATCTTGATCAGAAATTATCTTATTTTCTTGTTTATTTGTTATGCAACTACTCTTTACTAGAATATAATTTTAATGACAATAGAATCGTATCTCTCATCTTCACTTCTAGCTCTGGATCTCTGGAAGTTAGAACAGTGACTGACACAAAGTAGCTCTTCAGCAATATAGAATGGATGACGAATGAGTATGTGAATAAATATTTTGCTAAATTATTATACCCTTTGTAGCAATCTGCTTCAGTGTCTGATTTTTAAATTATTCATATTTTATTTAAATTTCTTGGATAATTCCTCATTGGGGCAATTATTGTTTGTTTACATGTGACATTCAAAAGAATTTAAAAATTTAGAGACTTTTAGTAAAAATCAAAATACACTTAATATGGAAGAAATTTGGACAAATCAGCTCTATAATAATCTGGGTGTCTTTGTTAGGTTGTATGAATTTTCTCTAATGAAAGAGTTCTTGGGTTTTCAAATAGCTTTCATTCTGTGCAAATATTTCCTAGTTCAATATAAATGGCATTTATGATAAACTGTGGGACCTTTGTTGTTGGCTAGACAAAGGTTATAAATAATACTTTTTCTTGCCTATTTAAAGCCTTTCTTATTTTTTAAAGTTTTTATATTTAAATTATTTTAAATTCACGGAAGAGTTGCAAAGGCAGTACAGAGAGTTCCTGCATACCGTTTTTACAGCTTCCTCTGATATAAGCATCTTACATAACCATGCTACATTTATTAAAACTAAGAATTTAACATTGGTGCATATTGAAAGAAGAAATCTCATACAGAATAGACCCATATTAGATTAAACCTTGTAAATATGAAGTGAGATTAACTAAACAATCAGCCTTTATGCAGATATCACTAATGAGTTTTTACACTTGTGTCTTTTTCCTGTCCAAGATCAAATGCAAGATACCACATTGTTATTTGTCATCATGTCTCCTAGTCTCCTCTAATCTGTGATGGTTTCTCAGTCATTCCTTGTCTTTCGTGACCTTACCATTTTTGAAAAGTGTTGGTCAGATATGCATTTTGTAAGTAACCTCTCAATTCTGATTTGTGTGATGGTTTCTTGTAACTGGGCTGGGGCTATACATTTAGAGGGAGAATACCATAGAGATGAAGTGCCCTTTTCATCACATCACATCAACTGATACATGCTATTAACATGACTTATTATTGGTGATGTTAACCTTAATCACTTCGTTAGTGAGATATTTGCCACATTTCTCCATTGTGATTAGTGTAAATAATACTTTTAATCATAGTAGGTGATTACTTCCTGATTAACAACATGAACTGTGTAACAAGTAAAATGAACTTTCATTCTTGAACCAATAATGTTAATATTGGTAATATTCTATGTTTTGGTATAACCATCAGTTATTTATAAATTACACTGTAATCCTGGATACATGTCTCCTGAGTACTTTTAGGAGCTGAGCTGTAAAAAATGCAAGAAAATAGATTAAAGAGTTCTTAAAAGCCCTGTTGCCTTTATTCTCTATTACAGTGGGGAAATTGATGGAAAGAGAGATGTGAGAACAAATCAGTATTCTATTTAGTTTCTAATAAAGTACAAGTGAATAAAACCATTACATTAATTTTAGCATATGTTTATCAGTATTTTTAGCATTAATGGATTTGTTTCTTTTCTGTTACTTTAAAAAATTGGAACCAAGAAAAGAATTTTTTGGTGGTTTTTAACCTCATTTAATCTCTCTCTCAAAATACCTTGTGTATTGAGCTGCCATTGTCTTGGCACAGGACAATATAGCACTCTTTGTCTCAGACATTTCCCAATGTCATTATTCTCCTTCAATTTTTCCAAAAATATTCGATATATAACCAAGTTAAGCACACAGAGTATACATAAAAATTATATCATATGTGATCAATATTTCCTAAAAATTTGCAGTCTAGCTGGGAAAACAATGGTTATTCAAGAAAACAGTCAGTGAAGGCATAATAAAAAACATGGAAATTGAGCTACATCTTTTATATAAGTGGAGAAAACAACATTTTAGGAAGTATGATTAAAGCAATGGGGTAGTGGGGTAAAAGTAGGCGTAAGCATTGGAAAGCTAAAATAAATCATTGAAACCTAATATATAAAGTAACAGGACACAAAATAAGATAGTTTTCTGAGTCATTAATCAGTATTACATCAAGTAAAAATTAGTTTAGTAAGTTTCTTATCTCCAAAGAATTATCATTGTTGGCAATAGCTAGTTAACATAATTAATAAGGCTTCTTAACAGGTGCTAATGGCTAATCTGTAATTTGTTTGTATTTTTAGACAGCAATCTAAATAAGTAGACATGATGAATAAAATTGAATATTGGGGAAATACTCTGAATTCTGTTACATTCTTCAACACAGATTTTAAGAAACATCTATTTTAACTAGTAAATTGACAGTCATTCATTATATGTAAATCAGTGACCACTAACTATTAGACACCCCAAACACCTAAAAATATGGCACTGCTTGTGTATATCTTAAATTTAATCTCACTTCATATTTAGAAGGTTTAATCTAATATGGGTCTGTTCCGTATGAGATTTCTTCTTTCAATATGATTCTTTTTTACATGGCACCCAATGCAATACTTTTTAATTAATACATTATATAGTTTAAAAGCTTAAACATTAGTATTTTTATTTTTTGTATTTTTATTGATATATCATAGCTGTACATACTTTCGTGATATATGAGATATTTTGATACGTGTGTACAATATATAATGATTAAGTCCAGATAATTGGGATATTTATCCATGACCTCAAACATTTTTCTTTGTATTCGAATACTACAATTTTTCTCCTCCAGCTCTTTTCAGATACACAATAAACTATTGTTAACTATAATTTCCCTACTGTAGTATCAAATAGCATAACTTATTCCTTCTAACTGAATTTTGTTAAGTTCAGTTAAGTTTGTTAAGTTTGTTAACTGAACTTGGTTAAGTTCTCTTTATTTTCACTCCTTTCCCCTTAGATAAACCTTAATATTATCTAAAGCAGAAAAGATAACATTGGGTAAAATAAGAAACTAAGGCTTATGGGGTTTAAATGTATTGCCAAAGTTCAAAACCTGTAAGTGGCAGACATAGACATCAAAACAAGGTCAAATGATTTGAAGTGTGGTGGTGCTGTATCTTCATATTTCAACCAGCACAAGTAAAATTCAAGGTTGTCCAAGAAATCAGATATGTCATATCTAGTTCTTTATTTAAATCTAATTTAAAAGTAGCAGGAAATCAGAAAAAAAATGTTTATCTTGGAGCTAGAGTAATGTTGGATGTGTTGGGAGAATTGTCTGATCCCAATGTAGGCATCTGTTAAAATGTTTTATCAGTAGTGCTTGGCATTGATCTCTGGTCATTTGCCAGGCCTGATGAGAGAGTAAAAAGCCTATACACCAAAAGTGTTGCAAGAATTAGTGAGCAGGCACCAACATGAGCCAGTAGAGCACTCCTGGAATTTGATTTTGAAGGTTGCTTCATTAAGGAAGCTGGATATATTGCTGGATAAAATAGAAGGTTTTTAGTGGTTTTTTTATTCCTAACAGGAAATGGGTTTTACCACCATAACAAGCACCCTGGGTTTGGCGGGGGCGGGGGGTGGGGGGGTGGTGCGGGGGGTGGGGTGCGGGGCTAGAAAAACTTGCTGTTGGGATGGCGTCTATAATTTTGGAGAATGTGATGGCCAGCGCTCAGCAAAATGGAAAGACCGTAGTTACCTTGTCAGATAGGAGAGGAAAAAATAGAGGCTAAGGAAAATGGACATGCTGGAATGGATATATTACGTAAAGGCCAGAAGGTCCACCAAAGGACAATGTTCCTTGGGAGGAAAGAAATAACCCTCCATTTACTGATACAATCAAGAATGTGATGATGTGAAAAGTGCCAGCATCACTGGGAATTTGGGGCTTGCTCTCTTCTGTCAGCCATGATTGATGACAGGAAAGGCAATCACACATCCGTGTTTGCCAAAACTCAAGGGAAAGGTAGAGCCCCAAAGTAATAGAGGGCAAGTGGCTCCACTTAGCCAGAAAACTTGAACTGCAATTATCTTCATGACCAGAAAAATCAGAGGGGCCGCCAAGGAGATTTGATCCTCAGAGAGTTATGGGAGACGATGAATAAAGCATCCTGTCTCTAGGAGCAAGTTCGATGGGTTACTGCTTAGCATCTAAAATCAAATGGAAAGAAATAAAGAATCTGCCCACTGAGTGTGGCCACTCTATTTAAAAGTCTTGCACCTTTGCTCAGTTCCTAAACATGAGTCAATGTTTAGAATTAGGACCAATTGTCCGAAGAGGTGGCCATGATCCTAAGAGGAAAAACACTGTACCACTATGGCAAGTACTTACCACAATGATTTCCACATGCCTTCCTCAGTGGGACCTGTGGTCATTCGCTGTGGTGACTGAACGTTAGAGAAAGGAGAATAATATATTTCCAAGATGACTGAACACCGTGTCTGAGTTGATATTCATATTGGAAACCCAAATCACCATCGTGGCTTAGTTAAAGTGGGTGTGTATGGGACCAGCTAATGAAAAATGTCCTGGCTAAACTCTGTTTTACAGGGGGCCCACTAAGTCTATGGACCCTCCCAGGGATCATTTCTTCAATTCCTCAGTGCATAGTTGGAATCTATGTGCTTGGCAGTTGGAGAAACCACCACAGTAGTTCCATGGCATGCGTGGAAATCTCTGAAACTGTTAACAGCCCTGCCCCTGACTAGAAAGTATATAAAAAACAATATTATACATTAGGGTTGTGGGATGGTAAATATTGGTGTCACTATTAAGGACCTAAAGAATGTAGGGTCAGTTGTCCCTGTCATATCTCCATTTAACTAACCAATCTGGCCTCTAAGGAACTGAGAGAATTCTGCAGATAGTAGACTACACAGGCTTCATCAAGCAGTACCCTTGTTAGCAGCTGCTGTGATATTACTGCTAGAGCAGATTAATAAGGACTCAAGTACAGGGACATGCCGTTGATTTACATAGTGTATTCTCTTACGTTCCAATTAAGAGAAGAAACTCCTCCCATTCTAGTGAGACAAATAAAAATATTCATTTAGACTTTTGCCTTAGAGTTATAATTCTCCTACTCTTGTCATAATATAGACTAAAGAATCTGGACAGACTAGTGATCGCATTAAACATCAAACTAACCCATTGCATCAAGAATATATTGATTAGACAACAAGGGGTGGTACACTGAAGCCCTGGGTAAGACACAGGAGCTCCAGGGGTACAAGATAACGTCTCTAACATTCAGGGAACTGCCACTTCAGTAATATTTTTAGGAGTGAAAGGGCAATGAGCATGTGCAAGTTAATTTACCTCCAATTAAGTTATGAATGTTCTAGATCTTCCATATCCTCATACAAAAAATAAAGCAACTACCTGAAAGGCATCCTTGGGTTCTAAAGGCAATATATTCTATACCTAGGAATCATGTTCCAGGCCATATATCAGATGACATAGAAAGTTACCAACTTTTGCTGAGTATAGAGTTCTAGGATGGGATACCTTTCTTTCTGTAAAGATACCATCCACTGTTTTCTCACTTGCATTTTTTTTCCAGCAAGAAATCTGCTATCATTATCTTTCTCCATCTGAAATGTGCTTTCTTTTTTTCCCCTGGCTACCATTAAAATTTTCTCTTTATCAATGGTTTTAAGCACTTTAATTATTATGTCTTAAGCTAGTTTCCTTCAGGTGTCCTGAGCTTGGGTTTCATTGAGTTCTCCAAATTCTGAAAATGTTTGGGCATTATTTATTTAAGTATATATTTATTGCTTTTTTTCTCTTTTGGAGGGACTCTAATTTCACCTATATTAGCCTGCTTGAATTGGCCCACAGACCCCATGGTGTCATGGTGTTTTGTGTTGTGTGTGTGTGTGTGTGTGTGTGTGTGTGTGTGTGTGTGTGTGTTTTCATTTTACCCTACATATTTTATTTTGAATATTTTCTTTCAGTATGTCTTCAAATTCACTAAAGTTACATTTTGCAATTTTTAATGTGCTTTTAATCTCATCTATTGTATTTTTCACCTTAGACATTGTAGTTTTTACATCTACACATTTGAAATAGGCTATACTTATATAGGCCATGACTTTACTAATTTTTTAAGATATGGGATATAGTGATAATTTCTGTTTTAAGTTATTTCTCTCCTAACTTTAATCGGTGGCAATCTTAATACCTTTCTATTTATTTTTTCCCTTCTGTATGGATTGTATTTTCCTGCTCCCTTGCCAATCTGATAATATTTTATTGAACTATTGTGAATTTTAACGTGTATTTCTGAGGAAATTTGTAGTCATAAATAATCTTTAACTTACTTCTGAAATACAATTAACTTAATTGGAAACCAGCTTTATTCTTGAATGATACCTTCTCTGGATATGTAGTCTGGGGTAATTGTCTTTTTAACACTTACAAATATTCTTCCACTCTCAGAGCCTACCTTATCACTCTCCATGACTTCTAGTGAAAAGTCAGCCTTAATTGAATTTTGCTTTCTTGTACGTAATTTCAGTAATCTCATGGTGCATTAAAGAGTTGATGTTTATACTTGGTTTTCAAAAGCTTAACAATGATATACCTAGGTGTGGGCTTCTTTGTGTTTATTTAACTTAGATTTCATTTAGCATGTCACATCTGTAAATTTGTGTTTTCATAAAATTCAGGAATTTGGGGCCATTATTTTTTCATACGTATATTTTCTCCCCTATTTTTCCATCTCTTCTCTCTTTGGAATACCAAATGCATACATCTAACAATTTGATATCTATCAGTCCCATCAGAATTTCTTCATTGTTTTGCTCCAAGCCTTTGTTTTTTTGTTTTTTGCCTTAGATACTTAACATTGCTCTATCTTTAACTTTACTCTTTGCTCTTTTTTTCTGGAGTATCAAGTCCACTTAATATTTTTACAATTTTTATTTTGTCAATTGTATTTTCAGTTCTAAAATTTCCCTTGGTTCTCTTATACTCTTTCTTTACTAGGGATTTATATCTCTACTGAGAATTTGTATTTATTCATTCAATCTCAATACTGAGATTATAATCATTAAAAACATGCTTTGTTTTATTCCATTAAGTGTGTGTGTGTGTAGTAAGTGCTTTAATTTTTAGTCTGTTATACACAATATCTGGTTCATCACAGGAACAGATTTGATTTATTTTTTCCTCATAAGATTGTGTTTTATTCTCTGTTCTTCAGATATATAATTTTGGATTGTAGAAATGCAAAATCCAATTTTGTTTATCCATTGAGAGTTATCATTATAATTTTTGTTATTTTGTCCTAGGATATTTCTCACTCAAAATACCCAATCATATTAATCGTACTGGATCTTAACTCTATAGTTATGCTACTAAGTGGCTAATATCTTTTTCATATTGGGCAATTAACATCATACTCACTCCTTTAAGTAAATTCAAAAGTTTCCCTTCTTTTTGTGTGTTCTGAATACATTAAGCAGTATTGGCACTATCTGATCTTTAAAAGGCTGGTAGAATTTCTCTGAAAAAACATCTGGCCCTTGTGATATTTTTGTTGGGGATCTCTTTATTTTATTGCTTCAATTTCAATCACCTTGATTTTATTATGATCATCTTTCTCTAGTTTTATTTTTCAGAAAAGTATTTCATCTAGTAGTTCACATTTATTTGCATAGTTTTATTCAAATAATATTCACATTTTCTCTTTTGAGGGTTATTTCTTCCATGCATTTTACTAATTTTCCTTAAGTAGATCTTTCATGGATTGTGAGAAGTGTATTAATGTCTGCTACTTTTAATGTGCTACCGTTTCATTTCTTGTAGTTTTTGCTTCCTGATAATTGTTGAGTTATTGGGTACAAAATTTATCTGCAGTGTAAATGACAGCCCTTAGCATTTAAGAAACATCATTGTTATTCTATTCTGAAATCTTTAGTCTTAATTTCTATCTTGTCCATTATTTTTCCATTAAAAAAAGAACCTTCTTATTTGTTTGTTTCTGCATTTATGTAGTATATACTTGAACATTCTTCTTTTTTTAATTTTAGTATTATTATACTTTAAGTTTTAGGGTACATGTGTACAACGTGCAGGTTTGTTTCATATGTATATATGTGCCATGTTGGTGTGCTGCACCCATTAACTTTGCTTTTTGCGTTTTGATACTATAAATAACATAGTGTTGGAATTTACTGGTTAACCTAAATAATTTTGTTTAATCAGTGAGATAATCCTATCTGAATTCATTAACTTGATCAATATATGTGCTCATACATTTGTAACAATTTTGAAGTCATCTTTATATATCGCATATAGCTATATGCTATATTAATATACATGGTATGAATTTAAAAATAGCATTTTCTATTCACTTTTTCTATCCATGAAAGATCTAGTTGATGAAAATTAGTAAATTGCATAAAAGAAAAAACCCTCAAAAGAGAAAATTTAAATATTATTTGAACAAAACTATGCAAATAAATTTCAACTACTAGATGAAATACTTACTAGAAAAATAAAACTAGAGAAAGTTAATAATAGTAAAAACAGACCAATTAAAATTTAAGACATAAAATAAAGAGCTCTCCAATAAAAATGAATAGAAAATGAGTAGAAATAGAATAGAAAGTGAAAAGAAAATTCTATCTTTGTATAGTATCAATTTTGAAATCATCTTTATAGTGTATCTGCTGTATATAGAAAGTGAACAGAAAATGCTACTTTTAAATTCATACCATGTATATCAATATTTATAAATTTAAGTAAATGGGAAAAATGTGTATTATATCCACCTGAAAATTATAAAATATTTTTGAAGAAAACTAATTCAGGTGTAAATTGATGCTCTTGTAGTGAAAAGTGTAAAACTGTCATTTCTTCCCATATTTATCAATAGACTGATCTATCAATGTAATGCAAATCCAGTCAATATAGCATTAGGTTTTTGTAGAAATTAATACAAGTTTCTAAAATTTGCCAGAAAGTAAACAGCACCGAAAAATAGCCATGGCTGTCTTGAGGAACAGAAGGAGGAATTATACTATCAGACATCAAGACATTTTATAGTAATGTGTCAATCATTCTGATTTTTGTTTTTGTTTTTTGTTTGTTTCCTCCTTTCCACCTTCTGTTTTTCATATAGTATTATCCATCATGTTAATTACCCCGTCTTCTTTCTAGTATAGTGTTCTTTTCTCAATTTTTTTTTAACTTGATCACCATAGCAGGCTTTGCTCTGGAGACACCTTGGCCTTCTGTTCAATAACCTGCACCCACCTTTGCAGCCAGTTTCTGCCCTAACTCTGCCCTTACTCACCTTGGGAAATTTCTACTTGGTCCAAGAGAGTAGTAGAATAGCTACTTTCTTATTTATATTCTTTTTCAGCCAAACTTATTGAAAACATGTATCTCTTTTCTTTGAAGAATTTAAAACATGTCACTGGGGCTATTCCAAAAAGTCTGTTTTAAGAGTTGTCATTGTGTTTAGTTCTCTTAGTAATTTTCAAACCCTTAAAACTTGTGTTCTGACTACAGTAGCTGTGTACACTTTCTACTATCCTGAGATGAGTTCTCAGGAACTGGAAGAGCTTTAATCTCTAATTTTGTAATGATTTTTTGTTAATTGTTTTGTTTTTCTCTTTATTTTTTATCCTAATATTGGTATACTTTGTCTGATTAAGATTACTAAAATCCTTCATTTCTTACAGAGGAACTTTGGACCTTTAAATAAGTGGGGTTTTTGTTTTAAATGTTGGGCTTTTCTGCGATTTGTACGTTTTTCACACATACCTCTTAAGCACAGACTTTCAATGCATGTTTATTGAATGGATATTGTTTTCCTTTGTGCTTTGATCCAGATATATTTTGTCTTCCTGGATGTACACATATGGTTTCAAAGGAAAGGTTAGAATCCAATATGTTTTCTCTTTTATTTCAAGAAAACTAAGAATACATTTTAGTGCCATGTTGTAGCTATCAATTTATCTCAAGTGTTTAGAAACATTTACTCCTTCTGTTTGCAATAAATGTATTCCATTTTTGTTAACCCCTCAATTTGCTTTTTCTCACAATGTGTTTTAATGTGTGAATTACTCAAAGTCTCCTTAGAAATGGATACTTTGTAAACAACATACAGCCACACACATACCCAAACACAGACATGAAGTCACTCAGGCTGTAAGATAATAGAAACAATCATTGAAATTAATGCATATTTACCTTTAATTAGAAAAAGCAGAAGTTGTATCCCTTTCATACATAAAACTGTAGCATTTGCTGAAGATTATATTTGATATGTGTTCCTAAATACATAGAAGATATGACCAAGTTAATCATTGGATAATATGGAAATTAATTTTAGTGTACTATTCAGGATAGTGACATGGAAATCAAATCAAATAAAAAAAGACAAATATGGATAAATTTAGAAGAGAAAAGGGATGACAAGAAGCTTTAAACTATACAAATTTTTACAAGAATAAAAATAATAACTTTAAAGCTACAATTTTTTCACTGCAATTTTTATTTTTTTAATCTCTGTGAAAAATAGTACCAATGCAGATACATGATGAATCTGAAAATGCTTGTTTAAAGCAAAAGATTGGACAGAAATATTTTATGGACACAGACATGAAAACCATCAAGGAAAACTCTAGTGGAAAAATACAAGAGATCAGTTTCCCATGGCTCTATGAGGCCCAAAGGGTTTTTTACATGCTTTATGACCTATAAAAATCAAATATATAATTAATTTTAAAAACGCTAAAAGAGGCCAGGTGTGGTGGCTCACGCCTGTAATCACAGCACTTTAGGAGGCCAAGGAGGGTGGATCATGAGGTCAGGTGTTCGAGACCAGCCTGGCCAACATAGTGAAACCCTGTCTCCACTAAAAATACAAAAAATCAGCAGGGCATGGTGGCGGGTGCCTGTAATACCAGCTACTCCGGAGGCTGAGGCAGGAGGGTCACTTGAACCTGGAAGGCGGAGGTTGCCGTGAGCCCAGATTGTGCCACTGCACTCCAGCCTGGAAGACAGTGTGAGACTCCGTCTCAACAACAACAACAACAACAAAAAGCTAATAGAAGAAACATTGAATCTTGTAATATCCACCCTAATATGACCTACTTAGATCAATACGTCAGTGGGCATTATCAAGTACATGAAAAGCCTCCATGAATTCAATTTTCAGGTGCATCTGTTAGAATATGTGTGCACACGTGTCAGTAAGGAAGTCGAGGGGGAGAAGGAAGTCATAATTAATGTTATTTGAAATAAAGATGAACAGAATATGGTTATTCAGGGACACAGATACATAGTTGTTCTCCTCTTTATTAATTGTCTGCCAAGCAGTAAGAGTTTAATACTCTCCATGGGCCTACAAGTGACTGACTTTTTGTATTTCCTCTACTGCTTCATTTTCTCTTCTGAGAAGAATAATGCATCGATGAGTACTGTTCTGAGTCCCCAGGAGGGTCACATGATAAAAATCCTGTGCTCACTTCATGGATCAATATGTCAGGCACCAGAAGATGATCAATTAATTTACTAATTGTTGTTAGTTTCTCTGAAGTAAAAACATGCCAGCTTTATTCAAATAGTCCTTCAGGAGACATCACTAAATATGTCAGTCTGCTGTCAATATTAAATTTACTTTAAACATAGCTTTTCTAATCTTTGAAATATACATGCAGATTAGAAAGGTAGACACTTTAGACCATTCACAGTTGCAAATTGGAATTAAAAGTGGAAATGTGTATATTATTTGTATGGTACAGCAGCAATATGACTTCAGAAGATTAAATCTTAGAATGAAAAATGATAAACCAGTGTTATTTTTGTGAACCGCACAATAACATATGGGATGTAGGCCAATAGCATCACACTAAATCAGCCTTAGAATTTCACAAGCCACCGAATGTCACAGAAGAGGACTGTTATTCATTCCACCTACTTGACATAATGGAAGAAAATAATAAAAGTTCAGAAGTAAAATTAAAATGAAGTTAGCTAAGCCTGCCTCTACTCTACTGGTTACAGTTATTAGTGGTATGGTGGTTGCAGAGGCCAAAGTTTCACATTGATCGTAAGGATATGACACAATGACAGCTGATTAATTCTAACAAGAATTTCACAGGAATCTACTTTGCTAATTTAGATGAGTAAACACAATGCTCACATAATCCTCCTTGCAAAGAGAATCCTAAAAAGAATACATGTCAGGTGTCAATTTATTCTAAGTTTAAACCAAGTAAACGAAAGGACTAACAATTGTTTGCTACCTCCTTAAATTAGGCTATTGTTTTTAATTTTTCTTAAATTTTTGTACTATGCAAATTTTGATATGCATAATACATAGTACTAGTATATAGACTGAAAGTTTTCTGTGTGGCAAGGGCACCTGGTAGTAGATGAAATATGGCTAGGTTGTATTAGTACATATGTCTATCAGAAACGAATCATTGTTGTGAGTGTTAGCACTGCTTTCTCCATGCAGGCTGAAGGGCACTAAAGCAAGGAAGGGATTCTAAATTTAAATAAAATTTAGTTTCTGTACTTTGAATGCATGCTAATAGTAAAACGTTATAACAATACAGAAATTTACAGGGTGAAAAAGTGGAACTTCATTTTCCTGTCTTCTCGCATGTATATAAAACCAAGTTTTACCTCTCTCCTTAAGGAACCTATATACACATAGAAAAACATACTATATAATTACATATATACACAAACACATATACAAATGTATGTCTTTGGTTTTGTACATAGTTGTTTTTCCCACATAAATTGAAAGCCATTTTATTACTGAATTAATAGACACAAACATAATTCTGTATGGATATAAATGATGTATTATATATATGTTTTTGACTTGTTATTTCTATTCAATAATATAAGCACATAAAGATTTCTAATATTTTCTAAATTTCTAAATAGTATTTTTATTATGGAAAAATATCATTTATTTAACTATTACTTTACTAAATAAACTTCTTTTTAAAATTTTTCACTTTCATAAGCAAGGCTGAAAAAATAAACATTAAATAAATATAGGTATAGATAGGATAAAGATACATGCAGATAGATATAAATATAGACATATAACGAATGTATACATAAGTGGATATACACAAGTCACACAGACGCACATCCCTGATCAAAATGCATATTCCCCCACTGGCTTGAAATTCTGTCTTAATAACAAAGAAGACTCCCAGTGATATCTAAGCCTTTTTCTCCCCTCATTTTCTCTTACAGTCCATTGTTTTCTATGCATGTAGACACACTGTAGTTTGATAACATGTTTTAATATAAAAATGGGAAATACCCTTATTGTTATTCCTTTTTTTTTTTCAAAATTGTAGTGTTATTCTTGCATTTTTAGTTCTCAGGATTAACTCTGAAGTTTTGCTTAGGGTTACATTTTTAGGTTACTTAAAAGAATTGACCCTTTAACATAATGGTGTTTCTTGTTGAGGTATCTTATGTCCTTCAATATTTTAAATAGTTTAAATATTTGCATATACCTTTTCAAATGTATTTTATGTATTTATAGATTTTGTAAGTTTATGGAAAAATTATTTTTCCTATTACAATTTTTTATTTTGAGTTTTGGTAGTGAAGAAAGTGACATTTTATTTTTATCGATCTTTAACAAATTCTCCAACTTTCTTATTACCATAATAATATTTTTCTATTAATACAATCATGTGATCTACATAAAGTGAGAAAATTTTACTTTCTTTTCTAAATTTATACTTCTTGTGTGTGTGTGTCTTATTTCACTAGTTATGGTCTTCAGTACAAAGCTGATTAGTAATGGTGGTCCTTGCCATGCTCTTCAAATTAATGAAAATAGTTTTAATGTTTGACAGTTAAGTATAATGCTCTTAATTTACAAGATATTCCTTAGCAAAATAGAGACTTTTTTACTGTAGTTTACTAAGATTTTTTTTAAGGTTTTAAATACATTCTTTGTACCTAATGAGAAAGGAACACAGATCATTGATTATGTTTAGTAAATTGTTAATGTAGTTAATCATATTTAACTATTGGATAGCTTTGCATTTGTGAATTATATCACTGTTGGTAAATGATAATTTTTCTTTTATTATACTGTTCCTTTTGAATTCCAATATTAATATTGGATATTTTAATTTATGTTCCCAAAGTTTCTTAGTCTATTATTTTTCTGTCTTATCTTGGTCATATAGCATTGTAAAAATTTCAGCCTACATAATGATGTAAATAACAGAGAAAATTTCTGTTTCTTGAAGAATTAGTTTTTCTCATACAGATAGTTATATGATTAAAGGATTTTTATGGGAATAAGTTCTTTTTCCAGTTTTTAGAATGGCATTGATCTAGTACACCTTTCCAAGTGTCCTTGTGTTAACACTTTGGACTTTTCTGTATTATTATTCGATTCATCTGGATATTCATATTAAATATTAAGCAGCTACTAAGCTGTAGACAACGTTTGAACACAAGGACCTGACATCAGAGATTGTAGCATAAAGTACAATCCTTCCCAAGTGTTAATTAAAATAAGTAAAAATGTAAGTGTAAGATAATACTTTGATGACAAGTTTCATTGGTTATTATTAAATGCATCACATTTTCGGTCAGAATGTGTTTATAGTATGTTTTCTGCCATTGGGGTTTTCACTACTCAATTACATTTCTATTTTTGTATTAATTAATTTATGTATTTCAGGATTTTGGGAGAAGTTAAAGGGCATATATCTAGATTTTAAATAAAATAATATTTACAATCAGAAAGTTTGTTTCTCTTAATGGACACATTCACATTTAACGTGCTATTTTGTATGTTTAGTCATATTTTGCCATCTGTTTTATATTTTTCATTTGATCAGGCTGCATTTTTATTTCTGTTTTTCCCCCTCCCTTTCATTATTTGACTTTTTCCATTTTTTTGTTTGTTTCTATAGGGATAGATCTTAGACATTCTAATTCCTTAATTCTAGAGAATACCAAAAATAGCATATTTCAATAAACATTGAAAATTATTATAATTAGCTTCTATTTCTATTATATAAGATAATATGAGATATTCCATAATATGAGATATTAGGTATTAGATATGCTTTCCCTTGTCCTCATTGCTGACCTTGTGAGCTTTTGTAGGTATAAATATAAACCACAAATTCAGCAGTTATTTAAATCCAGCTAAAAGTTTTTAACAGCTATTTATATTCTTTATCTTTTGCATTCATAGGTCTATGCCTTATTTTGCTGGAATGTTCACTCAAGTAAATTCTGTTACTAAAGGTTCATCTTAGGAAATATCTCCGTCATTAAATTTTCAGAAAAATTTCCCTATTTTCTATTTTCCATTCTTATAAAAATAAGTCTATAACACATTTACTTTCATATATATCCTACTTTTGTTTAGTTCTCTCTTTTGCTTAGAAAGATATCCAGTGGCTCCTTAGCCTCAATTTTTGAAAATCTTAACAAGTGTGTTTAAATGTGGGTCTGTTTCATTAATTTAGCATTGCATTGTTCAGACTTTTCACTGTGGATACTGCATTTTCAGCCAGGAAAGTGTTTCTTGTTTTGTCCATTGTTTGTTTTGTTTTAATATTGCTTCCTCTTGGCCTCAATTGTCTGTCCGTTAAAAATGTCTGTAATAAATATGCTGTGCCTTTTGAAGCTATTATCCTCTTTTTCAAAACTGCCTTTTAATTACTCATATTATCTATTGATTTTTTTTCTTTTTTCTTAAAACAACAGTATCCATGCTTTCAATTTTCAAGAATTCTGCTTCATTTTGGAAAATTTTTAATTCTACTTTGTCTTTATTTTAGAAAAATTGCATTGTTTTGCATAAAATACAATTGAGATAAAATATAATCGTCGGTCGTGCCAAAAGGGACAAATCTTACATGAATAGATTATGTTTTCAATTGGAAGGGGAAATAATCCAAGAGCATAAAGAAAGATCTAGAATTCTGTCACTAAAGATTTTGCTTCAAAGTTGCCATTTAGTGATCATTTTTTAAATTTAAATTACAAGTTTGAAATTCAAAGTAAAAATGTCACCAGTAATTCAAATTTAGAAAGGTCTCCCTCTAGTTGTTGATATAGCTTGTTATAGACTCTTAATCAAGAGAAGACAACTTGAGATACATATTTCTTTAGAAGTATTCCTTAAAGAAGTTCATTAGAAGGCACAAAAGTAAAAATTAAAATCTCTTAATCTTACCCTTGTAAAATTATTACCAAGCTATTCTCAGTAGCCAATCCCCTACTTTTATTTTTCCAAATGTCAATAAATTAACCTGAAAGAAGTAGATTATATAAGTTATTATTTTATACATGAGTTTTTGGGGGCTTACTAATCAACGAGAGTCTATATCAAAGGTTGTAAACTTGCTGCACAAGATCCAGAAAGAGCACAGAGCACATATGGGTGTTTTGACATGATAGTACTCATTTTTTAATTAAGTTGGTTTCCAACTTTTAAAAAGTGAGAACAACTTTGACTTTAAAAACCTCGACTTGGTGCTTCTCAAGATTTTTGAAGATTCAGAAATATCTAGCCCTAATTTCTAATTTATGCTCATCTTGTGGATCTGAGTAGCAGCTCAGCTAGATAATATCCTATTTTCCAGGGTCCCCAGCACACTCTTTTTAAAATAAAATCTGCCTTTCATCTGACATATACATTATTCGTTTCGATCCAGAAATTATTTGAGGAATTCCCAAACCACAATGATAATCATTTAAGGTTATCTTAAAAACAACTCAGTTTAAATCACATGCACTTAAAAGATGAACTTCAAAGCACCCTGAAAAGCTTGGACAATTTAGAAATAATCGAATTTTATATTGTGTTTCTGTTGAGCAATGTAAAACCAAACAAACAAAAACATAAGCAGCTTGGGATATCAAAGCTCCTGGTCTGGTATTTGCTAACATTTAATAGGCATTCATCACATTGTCAAAATTTCTAGTGAAAATTCAGCTCTAACTTAGTCCGCAGATAGTAATATCCTTATTAAAGTACTTAAAACTTGCTATAAACACTTAACAAACATCTGGCTTTTAAAGAAATTTTTTCCAATTTTATTTCCTTTTAAAATATAGACTTGATATTTTAGAGCAGTTTTAGGTTCACAGCTAAATTGAGCAGAGAGTACAGAGCATTTCCATATACCACACACACACTCACACACACACACACAGGCACACACACACACACACACACACAGCCTTCTCTAATGTAACATCCCCCACAAGGATGGTACATTTGTTACAGTTGATGAACCTATACTGACAAAACATAATCACCCAAAGTTTACATTGCGGCTCACTCTTGGTGCTGTACATTATTTGTATTCTTTGTATTTCAATAAATGTATAATGACGTGTATCATGATACTATTAAAGTATCACACAGAGCAGTTTCATGTCCTGGAAATTATCTGTGCTCTGCCTCTTCATCCCTTCCTTCCTCTAACTCCTGGCAACCAGTGATCTTTTTACTGTCTCCATCATTTTGCCTTTTCTAGAATGCCATATAGTTGGAATCATTCAGTTTGTAGCATTTTAATATTCTATGTCTTTTCATGGCTTGATAGCTCATTTATTTTTAGCACTAAATAATATTCATAGTTTGGATACGTGACAGTTTATTTATCCGTTTACCTACTGAAGGACATCTTGGTTGCTTCCAAATCTGGCAAGTATGAATAAAGCTGCTATAAATGTGTGTGTAGGGCTTTGTGTGGGCATAAGTTTTGAACTCATTTGGGTAAATATCAAAGTCCCCAATCACTGGATTGTGTGGCTCGAGTATTTTTAGTTTCGTAAGATACTCCCACTGTCTTCCAAAGTGCCTGTACCATTTTTTGCATTCCCACCAGTAATGAATGAGAGCTCTTGTTGCTACACATCCTCTCCAGCATTTACTGTTGTCAGTGTTCCGGATTTTCGCCATTCTAATAGATGGGTCGTAGTATTTCATTATTATTTCAATTTGCAATTCCCTAATGACATACGGTGGGCACATCTTTACATATGTTCATTTACTATCTTTTTGTCTTTGACAAAGTATCTATTCAGGTATTTCAAATTGGACTGTTTGTTTTCTTAGTGTTGAGTTTTAAGAATTCTTTGTATATTTTGGATAACAGTCTTTATCAATTGTGTCTTCTGCAAATATTTTCTCCCTGTTTCTGGCTTATCCACTTATTCTCTTGACAGTGTCTTTCACAGAGCAGAAGTGCATAATTTTAATGAAGTCTGATTTATCAATTGTTTCTTTCATAGATTGCATCTTTGATATCGCAGATCCCATAAATGCCTGCCAAACCCAGAGTATGTCTCAGCTAATCACAGCAAATTTGACCTTTTATTACTTTTAAATTATAGATCTTTTTCTTCACTCTGGCCATGGAGGGCTAAGAAATAATAGTCATGAAGGTGAGAAAGGAGCTGACAGATCAAGGAGAAAAGAAATCTATTATACTCTCCCCTCTAGCTTCCCCTACCCTTGTTTCCTTGTTTCTATTTCAAGTTCCTGCCTTTAGCAAAGCTGAAGAAGGGGATTCTAACTTCAAATAAAACAATATTTTGACTATTTTGTGGAACATAAGTTTATAGAATAAGAGTGCCCTTCTTTAAAATTCTGAAGGGGATTTTTCTTTTCTTTTTTTTTTTTTAACCTGGGAATGACCAAAAAAGGCACAGGCCTGCCTCATATTTTACCCAAAAGTCAGGATAGATTGGATTGGTACGGACAGAGAATAAAGTTGTTTTCTGTCACCTTATGAGTCTTACATTTTTATAACTTTGTTTATACTAAGTATGTGCTAGGGATACTGTTGTTTATTTTGATCTCAGAAATACTCAACCATGGAGTCATTTTAATCTTTATGAGACAAACTGAAGATTGGGAATTTAATAGCCAAAGTTTTATAGTTAGGTAATAGCAAAGGCACACTCCAAGAGTGCCCTTCTGAGTCATGTAGTATGATTGCTCACTAGCTGTGATTTCCTCTTCGAGCATTACAGGGAGAGAAGACAGATGTTTGCAAGGGTCTCATTTAATGTAAGCCTATTCATATTTAAGATTCTTAATAAAATAAATACTATTGTTCTCAACTGGATAATCTTTGCTTTTAGCCTTGCATTTGTAGGAGGGTGGCAGTTTCTTGAAATCTAGATGCTGCATATTTTTAAAACAACTAAAAATTAGAAATAAATAATAAATTTAAAAATATATTTTGTGTTTTAAACATGGTTATTCGGTTTGAGATATTATACTTGTATCTTGACCATTTTAAAGTTAGACAATTTTGCTTTTTTGAATTTTGCTAATTTTTTATTTTTAGATATACCATTCTCTTTTGCTTCTTAATGTATATGTATATTTCATAAAGCTCTTTATTTTATAACTTGTCATGAATTACTTCTAACTGAAGATTATGTACACTTAACAGGTATAGGATTCCCATGTGATATTTAGCCTGTTAACTCTCATATACTTTGTAGTCAGAGTGGCTTTTGTTTATTTATTTATTTTTAGAGACAGGGTATCCCTATGTTGCCCAGGCTGGTCTTGAACTCCTGATCTCAGCAATCCTCCTGTCTCAGCCTCCCAAGTAGCTGGGATTACAGGTTGAGCCACCACACCTAGCCAGAATGTCTTTAATGGTGTAATTTGTTACCAAGAAAACCTCTTCTGCCTCTTTAAATCTTTTTTCTTATTTTATTATACTTCAGGTTATTTAAGTAAAAGAAAGATTTTATTCAAAACATTAGTGGCAGAAGATGAAATCAGATCCTCTTGGAGTGTGCACATTTGCCCTTGTTCATAAAAAGTATACTTGACTTTCATGAAATGCTTTCTGGAGAGCAGAGATTTGGAAATGGGTACATAGGTGAAAGGCAATGCTCTGGGTACTGAAAGGGAAAGTGCTTCCTAGGGACCAATAGGAGCCAGAAAGGGGAAGCAAACCATTTGGAAAATTATCTTTAAACCAAAATACTGCTGAGAAGGTTTGAACTTTTTGTGGTAACATTAAATATCTTTTAGTCATCCTCTGTTATTTTTACTCCTTTTTAAGATTTATTTCTCTTAAGTTTTCTTTCTTAGCATCAGTTCTGCTTCTGACCTATGCAATAGGCATGTCACTAGTATCAAATAGCCCCCACATTCACTGAATTCCAGTATCTCATCAATAAATAGTTTACTAAAACTTTCTTACAATTTTAATTCAATTTCTTTTTATGAAAAAAAGCACTTGAATTTTATTTTGAAACATTTCTGAAGTCACACTACATAGTAATCATCTTGGTTTCTCAATGATAAAATTGCTTTTATTTACAAACATAATTTACTCAGTAATTATAAGTGGCTGAATTCAATAACAAAAGAGAAAAAAAATCATCTTTGTGGAATATTTTGTTCTGTCAACTAATTTTGGCATTTACTTTTTTTAAATTTTATTATTATTATACTTTAAGTTTTAGGGTACATGTGCGCAATGTGCAGGTTTGTTACATAAGTAAAATACATGTGCCATGCTGGTGTGCTGCACCCATTAACTCATCATTTAGCATTAGGTATATCTCCTAATGCTATCCCTCCCCCGTCCCCCCACCCCACAACAGTCCCCAGAGTGTGATGTTCCCCTTCCTGTGTCCATGTGTTCTCATTGTTCAATTCCAACCTATGAGTGAGAACATGCGGTGTTTGGTTTTTTGTCCTTGCGATAGTTTGCTGAGAATGATGGTTTCCAGTTTCATCCATGTCCCTACAAAGGACATGAACTCATCATTTTTTATGGCTGCGTAGTATTCCATGGTGTATATGTGCCACATATGCTTCTATATGAGTTTTACAAATTCATTTCATTGATTTCACTTGATTTTCTCTTAAAATGTCACATAGATTTTCTTGCTAATGTACCATGAATGCATCTTCTAAGTGAGTAAATCTGAAAAGTCACAAACTTATTTTACATAAATGAATGTGTAGCTAGTTTTATTTCATTAAATATAAGAGATAAAAGAGTTTTTGTACAATTAAACGTTTTTAAGAACAAATGTCAAAAAGCTCTGTAATCACCACTGTCTAAAAATAGAATGACTTGTCTTTACGCATCTTGCACATTTGTAAACTACAACAGGTAGAATATTTAGCATTAAGATTTGAGAGATTAAAAAAATCTCTGAAAATGTACTGTATATCATACTTCAGACAATTACATGAAAAAAATATAAGAATGTATACTTAACTTTTATTAGCCAATACTAAAAAAAAATAAAGGAAGAAAACTCTTGCTCTTTCACATGAGAAATGTAAGTGTGAAGGCCATGCTAAAGTTGCAGGGCTAAAAATTAATAAATAAAAGTCATGACTTTGGCTCAGCTGTCAGTAACTGTGCAACAAGGAAACAGATTCAGCCAACAGGAAAACTGGAAATCCTTTTTACGTCACAGTAAACATTTGGGAAAGCAGCAGCTTATGATAATTTGGCAGGCTTACAAAGTCCCTACTGAGTGTGTAGCTGTAGGAGAAGTGGTTGGAAAGGAGTCAATATGTCAGAGTCTGTTGGCTTCTCCTTGCTGCTTTTAACAGGATGTTTCAGAAAGCAATACGATGTGGTATAAGCTAGCTGATCTGCAACAAACTGAGGATGGATGATAGAGAATCCAGGGCTTAAACTTTTTCAAATGCTGGAAAAGCAATTGTTCCTATGGGCCCAAAGAGCAGAAAATGAGACCGAAAAGACCTAAATAGCAGAAAATGAGACTAAAAAGACTTTGAACAACAAAGGCTCCTAGGAGACAGTCAAATGACACCTGAAAAGCGGCTTTCAGCAACAAAAGCCCATGAAGGCTGTCAAACAAAGGCCCTCAGCTTTGTATACCAAAGGGCGGAAAAGAATATTACCTGAGCTACAAATTCCTCCTACTCATATTTGTATATATGAAATAAATAACATTATAAAATATGTCTTCAATATACATTTTAGTAAAATAGTTAAAATGTGGAGTTACCATTATCCCTCTTTTAATAACCATTTTCTAATAGATATATGTGAAGGGAAAACTTTGAAAGTTTTCTCTGATTTGGTATTTTGTATATAAAGACAATAAAGACAATAATGTTTTATTTAAAAATACATATATTTCTTTGACTAGGATAGTAAGACCAGACATTTGTTTGTGTGTATCCTTTCCAAAAAAGCATGAGTTAATTTTTATTTAATGTAAAGCAAATATGTTTTAATCCTTTCTTTGTTGTTTCTTAAACAACATTGAATAAAAAGGAAAAAAAGCAAGCCCATTTTCTGGAACCTTAATATGTGGCCATAGCAGAATTAACACCTCCTTAATTTCATTATAAGTTTCTGGTCAATAGTTTCTCATATTTCTTCTGCATAGAAGAAGGTTATTCCTAAAAACTGCAGCATATTGAGCCTGGAACAAATTTCGAGCTAGACTTGGGAATTGAACAAAATAGCTTCTTAAATTCCATAAATGTCTCTAGATTCCATTCTCTGTATTCTGCATATTTTTTTCTAAATTGTGCTTTAAAATGTTTAATTTATTTCAGATTATTTACTAAAATAACAGTAACAATCAAAACAATGCTATCAATCTATTCAATTTCTTACTTTTTAATATTTCTATGAGCTGTGCTAGTTTTTACAACAAATATAGCAAAAACTTCATTTCTATATATTTAGGTTTAAATTAATAAAGCCAGGAATATCAAGTTAAGAAACTTAATTTCAAAATCGAAATTAAATCCATCTTCTTATTTTTAGAGTTCTGCTTAAGTGACTCAGAAAGTGTTATAACAGATTAGGGAATTAATTGTCCTCTCAGTAAAAATAATTAATATTGAAACAAGCCAACATGAAAGTTCCTAAACACTTTTAGACACAAAGTAGCCAACTGTCTTGCAGAGTTTAGATAAACTTTGTTGAAATTGGGAGGTTTGATCAGATGATGACTAGTTACAAATCACTGAATGTCTACTATTTACATGCAGATAATACTTTTGATGCGATATAAAAATTGAGAGTAAAAGCTTTGACTCTAGTGTTCAGTTGGTATTTATATCCTGCCCATGTCTCTAATCTTCTAAATATAAAATTGCAGTTATAAAAGTGGCAAAACTTTTATAAATACAAGCCTGAATATTTAAAAATGGCTACCACATACTAGAATAATAACAATTAGCAGTTGTCACATTCAAAGTGTTAGAGAAATATTAAGAAGTTAGTGTATCCCTTTGGTGTACTTTGGTGAAACTCATATCAAATACTATCAATAGGACTTTTCACTCCTTCAAACTACAAAGAAAATTTGTCGCCAGACAATTTTCACAGCTCTAATTACAGCATTGCTTTTGCAACTCTATAATTAAGAGTGAACTACAATTTTCCTGCCTAGTCTCAGCTGTAAAAAAAAAAAAAATGAAATAAAAATAAAAAACTTTAGAAAAATAAAACTTGCTCAGAATTTAACATTGTATTTATTTCGTTAGGGCTTCAGCATAATAGCCCCCAAAGTTGGGTTGAAATAAAATTATTTCATGTCAATAGTTCTAATTTTCGGTAGATGTCAGTCTTTAAAAATGTATATCTATTTCAAATGCCAGCTTCTAGTAATGCCTGTGTTTTTTTCTCTATTCCTATGTAATCATTTTCAGTAGTGTATCTGCATGAATCAATGTGCCTGCAAATAAACCACTTGATTTCTTGCTTTCTTTCTCTTTCAAAGGTGCTTGAATGTTTCTTTTATTTACCAATGTTATACATTTATATTTCGAAAAAGTAATTATTTTAGAGTTATACGGTGATTCAAACATTTCTTCAATTAATACCTTGATTCATTTTGCAATTAGCTCCTAGAATTATGGCTCTATGTTTAAATCATTAATTCAGTCTGTGATGCACTCTTCCCCACATATATTGCATGATTTTTAAAAATTTTGATGTAACTTCCAAATAAACAACACTCATTTGGCAAGGCAGTTTGGAATACTTAACCATACAGTGAGTATCGTAACCACACAGTTAGCATTCTTCAGTACTGCTTATACATAGCTCATGGTCTAGAGTGACACTCATATAAGAACTCAGAGGGGATAAGGTGTAAGGAAGGGATCCAGTTTCAGCTTTCTACATATGGCTAGCCAGTTTTCCCAGCACCATTTATTAAATAGGGAATCCTTTCCCCATTGCTTGTTTTTCTCAGGTTTGTCAAAGATCAGATAGTTGTAGATATGTGGCGTTATTTCTGAGGGCTCTGTTCTGTTCCATTGATCTATATCTCTGTTTTGGTACCAGTACCATGCTGTTTTGGTTACTGTAGCCTTGTAGTATAGTTTGAAGTCAGGTAGTGTGATGCCTCCAGCTTTGTTCTTTTGGCTTAGGATTGACTTGGCGATGCGGGCTCTTTTTTGGTTCCATATGAACTTTAAAGTAGTTTTTTCCAATTCTGTGAAGAAAGTCATTGGTAGCTTGATGGGGATGGCATTGAATCTATAAATTACCTTGGGCAGTAAGGCCATTTTCACGATATTGATTCTTCCTACCCATGAGCATGGAATGTTCTTCCATTTGTTTGTATCCTCTTTTATTTCCTTGAGCAGTGGTTTGTAGTTCTCCTTGAAGAGGTCCTTATACAAAAATCAATTCAAGATGGATTAAAGATTTAAACGTTAGACCTAAAACCATAAAAACCCTAGAAGAAAACCTAGGCATTACCATTCAGGACATAGGCGTGGGCAAGGACTTCATGTCCAAAACACCAAAAGCAATGGCAACAAAAGCCAAAATTGACAAATGGGATCTAATTAAACTAAAGAGCTTCTGCACAGCAAAAGAAATTACCATCAGACTGAACAGGCAACCTAAAACATGGGAGAAAATTTTCGCATCCTACTCATCTGACAAAGGGCTAATATCCAGAATCTACAATGAACTCAAAGAAATTTACAAGAAAAAAACAAACAACCCCATCAAAAAGTGGGCGAAGGACATGAACAGACACTTCTCAAAAGAAGACATTTATGCAGCCAAAAAACACATGAAAAAATGCTCATCATCACTGGCCATCAGAGAAATGCAAATCAAAACCACTATGAGATATCATCTCACACCAGTTAGAATGGCGATCATTAAAAAGTCAGGAAACAACAGGTGCTGGAGAGGATGTGGAGAAATAGGAACACTTTTACACTGTTGGTGGGACTGTAAACTAGTTCAACCATTGTGGAAGTCAGTGTGGCCATTCCTCAGGGATCTAGAACTAGAAATACCATTTGACCCAGCCATCCCATTACTGGGTATATACCCAAATGACTATAAATCATGCTGCTATAAAGACACATGCACACGTATGTTTATTGCGGCATTATTCACAATAGCAAAGACTTGGAACCAACCCAAATGTCCAACAATGATAGACTGGATTAAGAAAATGTGGCACATATACACCATGGAATACTATGCAGCCATAAAAAATGATGAGTTCATGTCCTTTGTAGGGACATGGATGAAATTGGAAACCATCATTCTCAGTAAACTATCTCAAGAACAAAAAGCCAAACACCACATATTCTCACTCATAGGTGGGAATTGAACAATGAGATCACATGGACACAGGAAGGGGAACATCACATTCTGGGGACTGTTGTGGGGTGTGGGGAGGGGGGAGGGATAGCATTGGGAGATATACCTAATGCTAGATGACGAGTTAGTGGGTGCAGCGCACCAGCATGGCACATGTATACATATGTAACTAACCTGCACAATGTGCCCATGTACCCTAAAACTTAAAGTATAATTAAAAAAAAAAAAAAGAACTCAGAGGGGAAAAACTGCCTCAGTTGCAGTTCTTGGAAGGGGGCGTTTAGTGTCACTTTTTCCAGGGATGAAATCTTGGAGAACTTTGCAGGCAGTTGTTTACATAGACCAGTTTGAGCCCATATGGATCATATGCATGCACAAACTTATAATCTGCTTTTGAGTTTTCATCAACTGAAACTCCAAAGAGTCAAACCTTTCTCTTACTTTAATCTGAAAAGGCTATCACCAATTCCTCCTTCTCCTGGGTTTTTCACCATTCTGCCTCCATTATGCCATAATTGCATTTCCTTTCCTCCAGATTCTTAACTGGATTCTTCTTCGAGTTTCTTCTCTCTCTCTCTCTCTCTCTCTCTCTGTGTGTGTGTGTGTGTGTGTGTGTGTGTGTCTTACTTTCCTCTTCCCTCTCTTTATACTCTTTTTTATAACTTTTATTTTAGATTCAGGGGTACATGTGTAGGTTTGTTATATAGGTAAAGTGCATGTCATGGGGGTTTGGTGTACAGATTATTGCATCACCCAGGTAATAAGCACAATACCTGATAGGTACTTTTTCAATGCTTACCCTCCTCCTACCCTCTACCCTCAAGCAAGCCCTAGTGTCTGTTGTTAGTTCACTTCAAATAATAACCTCCAGCTCCATCCATGTTGCTGCAAAGGATATGATCTCATTCATTGTCATGGCTGTGTGGTATTTCATGGTGTACATAGTATTCCATGGTGTATATGTACCACATTTTCTTCATCCAGTCTACTGTTGATGGGCATTTAGGTTGATTCCATGTCTTTGCTTTTGTGAATAGTGCTGTGATGAACATACATATGCATGTGTCTTTATGGTAGAATGATTTATATTCCTTTGGGAATATATCCAATAATGGGATTGCTAAGTTGAATGGTAATTCTGTCCTAAGTTATTTGAGAAATTGCCACACTCCTTTCCACAATGGCTGAGCTAATTTACCTTCCCACCAGCAGTGTATAAGCATTCCCTTTTATTCTCAACCTCACTAGCATCTGTTATTTTTTGACTTTTTAATAGTAGCTATTCTCACTGTTGTGAGATGGTATCTCATTGTGGCTTTGATTTGCATTTCTCTAACAATCATTGATATTGAGCATTTTTCCATATGCTTGTTGATCACATGTAGATATTTTGAGAAGTGTCTGTTCATGTTCTTTGACCTTTTATAATGGGATTGTTTTGTTTTTGCTTGTTAATTTGTTTAAGTTCTTTATAGATTGTTGACATTAGACTTTTGTTGATGCATAGTTTGAAAATATTTTCTCCCATTCTGTAGGTTGTCTGTTTACTTTGTTGATATTTTGCTTTGCTATGCATAAGCTATTCAGTTTAACCCATTTGTCAATTTTTATTTTTGTTGCAATTGTTTTTGAAGTCTTTGTCATGAAATCTTTGCCAGGTCCTGTGTCCAGGACTATCTCTATTCTCTCTCTCTCTCTATTTTCTCTCTCTCTCTCTCTCTCTCTTCTGGCCCACTTTTTTGATCTAATAGAGAATCTAGGTTTAGAAGAAAACCAAAGTGGAATAACAAAAACCAAAGTAAGTAAAACTTTCATATTTTGAATTTCTGTGAATCCCTGAAACAGCAACTACACAACAGTAAGAGTAATAGAGAAGTAGTAGCAATAATGTTAGTAGTAAGCCCTTCAATTGTACCTATCTGTGCCAGGCATTGTTCTAAGTGCTTTGCATATAATAAATCAGTTAATCTTCATGACAAACCTATCAGGTAGACTTTATCATCATCTCCATTTTATACAGGAGAAAACATTTACAAAGAGGTTAACTAACTTGTCTGAGGTCAAACATCTGGAACATGCAGGAACAGGGATTTGGTTCTTTGCTCCATATTTATAAAAAATAAATGATTAGCCCTAAAGGATCATCTATCCTCAAACTTTCTGTTAAAATTCAGTACAGTCAACATAAATATTCCAAGAAGACAATGATCTGCCCCATTGTTAAAGTGGACTTACAGCCATTCTTGATACCACATAACCTTATAATATACATTGAAATTAGAATTTTGCGTACATTATGTTTTCTTCTGTTGATCTTATTGGTGTATTTTATATCTGTAATTTTTTGTTTCATCTCTAGTTAAATTGGAAGCATTTTCATAAGTATGAATTCTAGCAAAAATATTTATGTCAGTTATTGTTGACAAATTTTATACCAAATATAAAAATTGAACTGTGATAACCAAGATGGTGTATGGAGACTTGCGAAGCATAAAAGCCCAAAAAACACATGAAATTCACCAGTAAACTTTTTAGTAAACAGGTCTTTCCATATATGAAAAAAGTTTTGGGGCCATCTGAAGACAAAACATGGTACCTCTTGATCAAAGATTATGACCAGCAGATACCTACCCTAATAAGAATATTTTTGGCTCTTCTGAATATGCAAATTTGTCAACATTCCTTCTTGTGGCTCTAATTATTCTGGTTATTGCAATTTATTGTTTATCCATTGGTTGCTAGCTACAAACTGTTTTACCCTTGTCCTTATTTATCTATCACTTGTAAAAAATTTTTGATTGATTTGTAACTTTATTCGGCATTGTAATGAAAATGAGGACACAGTGGTATGGCTGGGTTTGATAATTAGAAAAGAATGGAAGGTAACGCTGGCTCCTCCATTCATTGGCTTTGTGTCTTTCTTGCCTCTACATGTGTCATTTTTCCCTTCTGCTAATGAAGGTGTTTCAGGTAACATCTAAGGTCCTTTGCTTATCAAATAGTCTGTGATTGTTTCCCCTACTAGAGAGTTAAAAAGTAAATAAATGTGTGTACTTCTCTGAAAATAGGCTGCTTTCCTCATTGCATTCATTAGTGTTTGCTCTCCTTGTTACAGGAGATGAATGTTATATACATAAAGATCTCCATCTTGGCCAAATGATTACATCGTTTTTCTCAAAGGGGGAAATATAAGAAAAACTGCTACATAGTCACTAGGTAGGCAACCCATTACTATGAAGAGTTTAGTGTGATAGCAAAAACTTTTCACTACTTCTCTGTACAACACTCTCTTTCCACCACCCAACAAACATTTATTGAGTGTCCACTTTCTCCTAGGATGAAGACTTAACACAAAACAAAAGGACACACTCCCTCCCTTTATGAGTTTATATTACAATAGAAGAAGTAAAAAAAAATACTAAAATTATTTGTTGAATGGTGATAGGCACCATGAAGAATAATAAAACAGAATAAGAGAACTAGTGAACACTAGGAGAATATGTGTCCAATTTTTAAACAGTAGTGCAGAAAGACATCTCTGATGAGGTGACATTTGACTGGAGTTCTGAAGAAAATGAGGAAGTGACTCAAATGTTTATTTGAGGAAAAAATCCTCCAGGCAGAGGGAACAGGTGGAAAGACCATGAGACAGGAGCATTTTTTGTATGTTCCAAGAATGCCAATGTGGCTGTTGTAGAATATACAAGCAGGAAATGTTAGAAGATAAAATAAGAGTTGTCAGGAGAGCAAATTATGTGGTACTGTGGGCCTCTGGAACACTTAGGCTTTGACTGGGTGAGAGGGTCTGCCAGTGCAGTGTTTTGAGCTTTGGAACTAAACAGTATACTGATACTTAGCATTTCTACACATCTGTGTGTAGGCATTCTTTAAACCCATTTTATTCATGTGTTCATTGTGTTTTAAAAGAACCACTCTAGTTGCTGAGTAAAGACTATAACATCTCCTGTACGTTGAAAAGAAGGTTATTTAAAATAACTTCTGAAAAATACACATAATAAAATGAACAATTTAATGCATACTTCTGCATTTGAACATAGAACACAAAAAAGTTTACAAAAATAATATTTTGAAATTCTACATGAGTGATTACTTTAATAAATTGTCTACATGAATAAATTATTTTACAAAAGTTCACGGCCTGATGTTTTTGAAATTTAATAATGTATTGTCTTTTAATGTTTTTTTCAGTCATAGTCTTTACTAAGATATATTAATTATAGGCAAGTTAATACGATTGTCATTTTTAATAGATGGAGAAAAATGTGGTACAGACTGTGTGACTTAAAGCATATTTATGGTCAGTCTTTTATATATACACTTTAAAATAACTGTAAGCATCATGTATACATTCCTACACATTTGTATATAGGCGGTACATATTGCTTAGAGAATTTAAAAATGTATGTATACACATGGATATATGCACACACACATATGTCACTTAGAAATATTTATACATGTGTATGTATGTATCCTAATTCCTCATTTAAAGATTTTTAGAATGTTTTAAAACTTAACTTATAGCTCTATGAAGTCAATTTTTCCCTTAAAATACTTCACCTAAAGCTCTGAACACAGTGTGGGCTCACTGAAGGCAAATGATTAGCATCTAATCACATGTTCTGAATATTTGGGGGATGCTTTCACTCTCAACACTGACAAATGGGAAATATCTTATTGAATATTTTACCTACAAACAATTCATATGCCACTCAGAATGTCTTTTACCTAATCTTAGATTTTTTTCCTTCACAATTAATAATAGAATCTAAGTCAAAAGGAGGATGGAAAATTTTCTACCTATCAATCATTCTCCAAGTTTTCCACCTCATAGCATAATTATTAAATGAGATTATACACATGAAAGCACTTTGAAAAGAGCTAGGCAAATGTGAATTATCATTTTCAGAAATTTCTGCTAAATTTTAGCTCTGCTTCCTAACTAGATGAATAACTTTGGGACATTCCTACAGTGATTCCCAGAATCAGGAGACCTTTTTTCCCTTTAACTCTTGATGTGGCTGGGTCTTTCTTGCACCTCATATCTTAACTTCCTGGTCACCACCTCAGGGAGAGTTTCCATGACTCCCCAAACAAAATACTTTCCTCTTATTATTCTCTTTCTGGAGCCCTATTTCTTTCTTCACAAGACTTAGCACAGTTTGTAATACTTAAATCCTAACTGATCCCTTCACCTGGAGAAAGCTTTATGAAAAGTGTCTTTGTAATTTGTTACTTTGCTTATAGAACTCTAATTTTCATGAGGAAAGAAACCATGCCAATTTTATTCAATAACGTATCGACAACACTAATCACAAGGCCTGGCTCAGAACATTTGCAAAGTGAGGACAATAATAATTCATTAGTTACGTCAAAATATTGTATAATGATCAAAAGAGATTATTTACATAAAAATGCCTCCCACTCTTATAGAAACAGGCAAATTTAAGGTGCTGTGATTATCTTGAGGAATTAAAAGTTTACCAACAACCTTCAATGTGAGGCACAAAGAGTATAGAATTCCTGGACCAGCAAATAAGTAAGTTTTATCATTCTGGTTTTTGTCTTAAAATACCAGTGTGGAATGATGGGAGAATACCAAGATCATGTGGACAATACCTTTCTTAAGATTAGAGGTAGGTAGATGAAAGGCAGAGGAGACCTACAACCAAAGCTAGACCACCGGCCACTACTGCTCATTTTGCCTTTGACGTTACATGACTCAGAGTGGAAAAAAAAAGTGTTCCCCAAAGCACAAATAACAGTTAATGTGAGTATAGCTATTTCATGAAAAAATGAAATGCAACCTGGTACCCTATAGTCTCCTCAGTTAGAAAATGACTTATTATGCTTTTTTTTAACTTTTATTTTATGTTCACAGGTGCATGTGCAGGTTACTTTTTAGATAAACTTGGATCACAGGGGTTTGTTGTACGCATTATTTCATCACCTAGATACGGTGCCTAGTACCCAATAATTATTTTTTCTGCCCCTCTCCCTCATCCCACCCTCCTTCAGATATGAATACCTTATAGGTTTTCATTCTTTTCATACCTGAATCATCTTTGGTGGACTACTTCTGATAGCTTTGTATGTTTCATATTTGTACAGACAGCAAAAATTGAACATTTTCAACATCTGTATACAATTGCTCAAGACTTTGGCTTTATCACTGAGTCTTCATCAAAGAAGTTTGTGTAGTTGTTTTTTCTGTTAATTATCATATGGTTTTACACCAATTTAGGACTACTGTTGCTATCTGGTAGCACCAGAAATGGATTTTTCTCTATTTTATATTCTGTAGCAGAAAGGAGAGAAATACAAGGAATTACACAAAATATTCTGCATTTTGGAGGGCGGAAAACAATTTATACATTGTTCAGGACTACAAGATTAATGAGGACTACATCCTTTTAGGTTTACTTCCTGTGTTATAATCACATTTATCATATGCTATCCCTAGCTGAACATACAGGAAGTTGTATTTAAATTTTTATTTCTATTTATATGCTGGCAGATGTAGATATTTTAGTCAAAATCAAATGCATATTCTAAGGCAAGGCAGCAGAATTAAATACAAGGAACGGAGATATTACTTGTGGTTTGTATGAACAGGCGATGCTTGTTTGAGATGGTGGATGGTGGTATTTAGTCTGGAATGTGAAGACTAGTGTGATCTCAACAACTATATATCAAAATGAGAAATATTTTAGGCAAATGAAATAAATATCTGACATTTTCTTTTAAGTAAATACAAGCAGTCCAAATTATTACATGCAGAAGCGTAGAAATAAAGAAGGCCATAAAGGTAATTTGAGTTTGGATATGGAAGTTCTTTACCATTATGTGAAAACATAACATTTAAAAAAAGAAACAGTGGATCCTGACCAGGTTTTGAGCAACAGATTGGAATGATTAAGACTTTGGCAAAATCAGCCTTGCAGGTATAAATTAAAGTACAAACAAAATCATAGAATTCAGATTTTTGAACAGTCAAGAGATCAAGCAATAGGACTAGATAAGAATACCTAAAACAAGAATTGTGGCTGTTCAAACCATCTAAGACAGAAGAAGTCCAAAAAGACATTTTGTTAGGAATATAAAGCTCAAAGACTGTATGAAAATAGATACACAATGTCATAAATTTGCTGAAATAATGATGTGCTCCTAAATGAGGCATTTAAATTTTTCATCAGCTGACAAATGATAGCAATTTAACAATGACGATTAACTGAGGTAAAGTCAATGGCAATTTAACTTTGCATTCTGAGAAAGACGTAATTGAAAATATACAAGAATAGCATATATAAATTAATTGAGATAATATGATAAAAATGGAAACACCTCTAGACTAATCAGGAGATATTTTCTCACAAGGCAGCATGCTTCTATGGAATTGGGTTCACTATTTGCAACATAATAAATATGGGTAGGCTATTTCACACAGCTTCTTCCAGCTTTCTTAAATTCTAAGACTATGACTCGGACATGAACAGACACTTCTCAAAAGAAGACATTTATGCAGCCAAAAAACACATGAAAAAAATGCTCACCATCACTGGCCATCAGAGAAATGGAAATCAAAACCACAATGAGATACCATCTCACACCAGTTAGAATGGCGATCATTAAAAAGTCAGGAAACAACAGGTGCTGGAGAGGATGTGGAGAAATAGGAACACTTTTACACTGTTGGTGGGACTGTAAACTAGTTCAACCATTGTGGAAGTCAGTGTGGCCATTCCTCAGGGATCTAGAACTAGAAATACCATTTGACCCAGCCATCCCATTACTGGGTATATACCCAAAGGACTATAAATCATGCTGCTATAAAGACACAGGCACATGTATGTTTATTGCGGCATTATTCACAATAGCAAAGACTTGGAACCAACCCAAATGTCCAACAATGATAGACTGGATTAAGAAAATGTGGCACATATACACCATGGAATACTATGCAGCCATAAAAAATGATGAGTTCATGTCCTTTGTAGGGACATGGATGAAATTGGAAATCATCATTCTCAGTAAACTATCACAAGAACAAAAAACCAAACACCGCATATTCTCACTCATAGGTGGGAATTGAACAATGAGAACACGTGGACACAAGAAGGGGAACATCACACTCTGGGGACTGTTGTGGGGTGGGTGGAGGTGGGAGGGATAGCATTGGGAGATATCCCTAATGCTAGATGAAGAGTCAGTGGGTGCAGCGCACCAGCATGGCACATGTATACATATGTAACTAACCTGCACATTGTGCACATGTACCCTAAAAGTTAACATATAATAATAATAAATAAATAAATAAATAAGACTATGACTCAAGAAATGAGGACTTCAAATTAGGTAGTTTCTAAGATTGCTTCCAGCTGTAAAATTACATTATTCTATACATCTAGATTCTTACATCTTTAATTTTTTAATTTACAGTTTTCTTAATAATTAGATTTACCAATAATTGGATTAAATTATATTGACTTTTTTGGTGGTATGTATATCTATGTATGTGTGTGTGTTTGTGTATATGTGCATATATATATATATATGTGCAAATGTATTGAGGTAATTTTTTCCTAACAGTAAGTTTAATCACTAACCCCCATAGTTTTATTGTATTGTAATTGACATGTGTTGAACTACACATATTTAGCTATACAGTTTGATATATTTTTACAAATGCATATGCCTGTGAAACCATTAGTACACTCCAGATAATGAAACATTCATCACATTAAAGAGTTTCCTTGGGACCCTTTAAAGATGTCCCTCCAGTCACTGTTTACTCCATCCCCAGGCAACCACTAAACAACATTCTGTCACTATTCGTAAATTTTTATTTTCTAGAAATTATGTAAATAAAAAACACAAAATATGTACAGTTGACCCTTGGATAATATGAGCTTGCACTTCACAGGTCCACTTGTACATGGATTTTTTTAAAACAAAATTTACACTGAATATTCCTGTCTGCCTCTCCTGCTTCCTCTTCCACTTCCTTTACCTTTTCTGCCTCTGCCACCCCAGGACAAAAAAAACAACTTCTCTTTCTCTTCCTCCTTGGTCTACCCAACATAAAGACAACGAGGATGAAGACCTTTATGGTGATATATTACATATAACAGGCAAAATATGTGTTAATTGACTGTTTATGTTATTAGTAAGGCTTCCAGTAAATAGTGGGCTATTAGTAGTTAAGTTTTGGGGAAATCAAAAATTATACATGGATTTTTTTACTGCACAGGGGGTTGGTTCCCTTAACCCCTGTGTTATTCAAGGGTCATCTCTACTTCTTTTCGGTCAGGCCTCTTCGCTCAGCATAATTATTTTGTGATTCATCCATCTTATAGCATGTGTCAATATTTCATTCCTTTTCATTGCTAAGTAGTATTCCATTGCATGGATATCGCATGAATATACCACAGTTTGGTACATATTCACCTTCTGATGAACATTTGGTTTGTTTCCGGTTTTGGAATATTACAAATAAAGCCTCTAGGAACATTTATATACAAGAGTTTTTGTACATATGTAGTTGCAGTGTTTTCAGCAAGAAATCTGTCATCCTTATGTTTGTTCCTGTGCACATAATGTATCTATAACTACTTTCAAGAGTCTGTCTTTATTGCTGGATGTGAGCAATTTTATTATAATTTACCTTTGTGCAGTTCCCTTCCTATTTCTTGTGTTTGGGGTTCATTGGGATTTTTAGATCTATGGGTTTATAGCTATGATCAAATGTAGATAAATTTTGATATTGCTTCTTCAAATATTTTGTTTCCTAATCCTCCTTTCTCTCTTATTTGCTTCTGCCCCATGGAGGACTCCAAGTATACATATGTTTAGGCTGCTAAAAGTTGTCCAACATTTCGTTGACACTGTGCTCATTTTTGTTTATTTATTTTTATTCTCTTTGCTCGTGGTTTGGATCATTTCTATTGCTATGCTTTAAATTTCACTTCCCTTTTCTTCTGCCACATCAACTCCATTATCAGTGCAGTTATTTTCCACCCCATATGCTGTTGTTTTCATTTCTAGAAGTTTGAGTTGGGATTTTTAAATATATATCCTTCATATCTTTCCTTAAATTTTGGAAAAAATGAAATGAAGTTATAATATTTTAATGTCATCGTTTGCTGATTCTAACATTTCTGACAGTTGTGGGTCAGTTTTTCTCCTCATTTTGGTTTGCATTTTCTGGCTTCTTTAAATGTTTAATGATTTTTGGTTGGATGTCAGAAATTGTTAATCTTGTTATATTTTGAATATGTTTATATTTCTGTATTACAGATTTTTTTTCTAGGAAAAAGTTGTTTGTTGGAAGGGCTTTAAACACTTGGGTTTTTATGGTTTATTAGTCATAAACAGAGTCATGCCCAGTCTAGAGGAAATTACAAGTATTGAGACAAAATTTTTATGAGTACTCTATGCTGTGTACTGTGAATCATGAGATCTTCCAATCTGGCTGGTGCGTACAGGCAATCTTCTAAACCTCGTGTATTGCTGTGTCGTTGTTCCCTCACATCCTTTTGGGAAGTTCATCCCCCAGGCTTGCATAGTTTCTTCATATGCACTCACTCGATGATTAGCTGAATGCTTGAAGAGACTTTCTGTAGTTCCCTGAAATTCTTTCTAACCACAGCTCTCTACTCTCCTGTATGCTCTTTATGAACTCTTCATGTGCTCGAGGCAGAGTTTACTGGGATTTGCCTGTGCATCCTCTCCCTGTGCCCTACTCTGGTAGCTCAAGAGAATAAGCTATATAACTGGGCTCATCTCATGTGTTTCCCATCACTTAGAAATTATCATTCTTCATTGTCTGATGGTCACTTTCTGGAAACCATTGTGTTTGTCCATTTTGTGTCATTTCAGAATAGAAGCAGGTGAGGGTGATGGTAAATTATGTCTATGTTTTATCTATGTTGGACAAAAGCTTTATTTGATTTTTTAGCTTAAGGGTCTCTCAATCTCAAGATTTTTAGGAAGTAGGAAGGATATTCTACTTTCTAAAAAAGTCTCAGTTATGCAGTTAAATATATTGCTATGAATTACCATTTATCTCCAAGTAACAAACTACTTATTAAGGAATATCCATATAAAACCTTTAAACCATACCCACTCTATGTGTTATGTCAAGGTATAATTATCATCATAAAAAATCAGTAGTGTCACCTAGGAGAAGATAACTGGCCACCAAGAGAGATCTTTCCAAGATGGCCTTTAACTTGGTGAACTCAGTAGTGCCTAAAGTCAGTCTCTTTACTTTAATAACTCAGAAAATAAGTCATGTCAATGTGCCTAAACATAGGGTAATTGGGATTTTTAGTTGATGCTGTATATAGAATTATAGGATTCTATGCAGAAATAAACAAATGAAAGCAAAAACAAATGAAATATATATGTGTGTATAATATATGTGTGTATATATAGTATATATAGCATATTTTATGGTAAATATAAAATATATATTTCAAATGTATGTACATATATTTTATATATTTCACATATATTTATGTATATATGTGTGTGCATGTATATATGTGTGTGTATATTTTTCACATATATGTATGTGAAATATATATTTCATACACTATGCATATACACACATATATACACAGTTGTATATTTTTATAATATATACACACAAACATGAAATATATATATATATATATTTCACCTACTATATGTATGCCAGGCTCTGTTAGATACATTGATAATGACATGTCAAAATAATCATTTATGAACTTACAAGGAGAAATATAATTGTCATGAAGATCAAACAGTCATTTTACTCTAATATGTTTGTCCTCTTTCTGTATGTAAGCAACATGAAAAGTCAGTAGCATGCCTAGTGATGAAGAATTTATATGTTAAATGTAATAAAACCAGTTCATTGGAAATGCATTTACTGTGGCAATGTCCATTTTTAAGAACATATTTCCAAATAGAATCAGTGAAGAATATAAATTTGAGTATATAAACATTGACTCAAGTCCTGCCTTGAGTTGTTAAACATTACACTACATCTTAAAACACGATTTAATTTGAAAAAAACTCTTCTCTATGTTAGATTCTGAGTGACATTTGGTTTTAAGATAAAGATCAGTGTGGGCTTTGAAATAATATTGCATTCCAGCTACTAACTAAACTGACTTCCTTAGAACATTTATAAATGTTGTACAAACCATTCTAAGGAATCCCAAACATTACTGTTTGGTTGAGGCTTTATTTTGCACATTTGATTTTAGTGACACAAAGAGAACACTGAATTTGGTTGGCAGACATTATTATCACATTTCATTTCAATGGTATAATTTGTAAAGCCCATTCAAGCTTTTCTATATTTCATTCTACAGCATTAAGAAACTTCATAATTTTCTTAAATCAGTTGCATACATCTGCATGCCACAGTCTTTTTGTGGATCAGATTGACTTTTTTGTATTTAGAGATAATGTTACTGGATACTAAAGAGGCTTAAAAGAATGTATTTGTCCAGAAGTTCCCTTTATACCACCCAGAACTCTTCCGCCTTTGTAGTAGCCATGCAACAGTAGCTAACTAGCTTGATTTTGCTTGAGGAAATCTGCCTTTATGCCACTTAGAGAAAATTACTCTTAACCATGTTGTAAAAATAAAAGTATAAAAAAACTAACTTCCATTCAAATTGCTATCCTATAAAAAGATTATTGTGTACTTTGGAAATAGTTTTATTTGATGAGGGGAAAATGTACAATGTTTGGCAGAAATTAGCTATCAAACATTTCAGATAATTTACTGAGAAGTGAAGTTTTCATAAATAATGAGTTGTGTCTTGATGGTGTTATTGTATGGTCACTATTAGACATGATTTCTTTCCAGGGAAGGCTCAGAGAAAGACTACGAATTGAAGAAAGGAACGTGTATCAAACTACATGTTTTTGAGAAAATTAAATTTCCATACTTACATAAGTAATAATAGCAAGGAAATATATATTAATATTACTATATTAACATTTGTTCTTTTTAAACAAATTCTTACAAGAACCTTTAATTAATATAAAAGCTCATATAAAATATACTTATTTTCAACTTGATTATATTTCATCTACAACTTATCTTCTTGTACTTTCACTTTAAATGCTTGAGTTTTATCATTTAGATCATTTAATCTATGTATCTAACATAATACAATAGCAGAACTATAATGTTATAGCTATAATGTTCTGGGCAAGAGGTAAACAAACTATTCCTTAAAGATTTTATTGTTTTCATCAAGCTGACTCAGTATGAATAGAATTTGAAGATGTATCTATAAGAATACAATGCACCATTTTTTAAACATTGTGCTTCTGCTTCTGCCAGCAACTGGCCACTACATGTATTGGAGGCATTTAAGATCATCTAGTTGCACTGTAAGAGCCACTTTTTCCTTCCAGGGAAATAAATATTTCCCTTAAACATATTTTTAAAACAACAGATGAGATCAATAACATTGAAGAAATAATACGAGCATAAAGTCTTTCAGCTTTACTTCTCAAGCTATACTAGAGGAGACTTTAACAAGGTATTGAGACAATAAAAGAGTATAAGGTGAGGAATAATATTAATCTAATGCTTAGCTATTAAAAGTCTACATTATAAAGGCACTCGGTATTGGGATGAATAAGGAAGTACTGTTTGGTGAGCATCCATGATGAAACCTCTCCTAACTTTCCCTAAAAATCCCAGAAGTTAGAAGAAATAAAGGATATCCATTGAAATTTAGAACTGATTAACATAAGGTATTTCTACTAACTGCAAAGATAGACCCAGTTAAGAAAAACAAATCACTCTATATAGAGATGGAGAGCTATCCTTTTATGCTATGAATTACAACTCTCACATTATCAGAGCACGATTTCTCAGATTTCTTTTTAAAGTAAACTTGCAAATATGGTTAAAAATGAAAAGCAAAACTAAAAAATTATATTTTAAGAGGAGAAATAAATTATAGTTATGATTTGATGACAAGAATCTGAGTATCAAATCTCAAAGTATATTAACAAACACAGGTAAAAAGACAAACAATACTAAAATTAAAACATCTTACATACCTTCTAAATCATAGGCGAAGATAAATGGCAGGTAGAGTAAGTCATTGATGGTAAAGAAAGAGGGAGAAAGGATATATCAGAAAGAAAGAAAAGTTCCAGAAATCTATCTTCCCCTCTTTAAATCCAGAGGAAATTACACAATAAATATATTTTTAATGCAAAGTCATGAGAAACACACAATAATCACGAGCAAACTAAGAGAGTGAGGCTATTCTAGATGGCATAAAGCAGATGACTGTAGACTGGGAGCAAAATCTACTTAAAAAAACAGAAGAACATACTACTCCAAATAGAAACCAGAAGGCAGAGAGCATTTAAATACAGAAAAAGACAAAAGAAAGAAAGGAAACATTAACGGCAAGAAAACAACAAAACACATTTATCTCCTAAAAGAACTCTGAAGAGAACCAGGAACAGAAGAAATGAAGGATGAAAAACATGAGACGTTGTCAAAATAAAATTAATTAAATGTAGGTCCCTACACTCAGAGCAGCCAACTTAAGAACAGGAACCAAAGCTAAATCACTCAACACTGCTCTCTAAAGTCATAGTTCTGACAGGACACTCTTAGAGTGACCATGGTTGCTAGGGCCTGATAATCAAAGCAGTGTTTGTGATAATTCATTCACTATATGCAACCTCATATCCAGACTCTCTCTCTCAAATATCACCTGAAAACTTTACTATAATAAAAAAATGATGTCACATAAAGAGCATGACTTGTTACTGCTTAAGAAATACACTCCATCTTTCAAAAAGTAATATGCCTCCTTCTTCACACGATGTAAAAATAAAAGCAATCTTCTATATTTTGAGAAAATGTTGCCACATCAATAAAAGAGACAAATCAATATCAACAAACTGAAAAACTCCAAAGAAACAGAATTAACTTAAGAAAGAGATGGTGTTAAAATGAGTAAAATGGATGTTTCTCTGGTGATTCAAGAAAAATAAACCATATTCTGAAATTAAATGCATGCATCAAAATCAAAAAGAGCAAAACAAAACAAATACCTTCAACACATAAAATTTAAATATTTAGTTTTTATAAAAGATGTTAGATCACTACCTCACACCACACACAATTGCCAGGATGGTTAATAGAATGTCCATCAAGCTGTTTAAAAAAGTGAACTATACAAGCAATAGAAGACTTCAGGTAATGGTGTACTTATTTTTCCTTGCTGTATTTCCAGCATCTAGAAAAGTGTATGACAGAATAGGTGCTCAGTAAATATTTGTTAAAGCCTCAATTTCAATTGGCTATACTTCCCAGAATGCCTTTGTCTCACTATAAAACCAGAAAAGTAAAACCAAAGAAGCTCTGTACTTGGGGACATTCACAGTGATTGGGGGCTAACACTGGGCTGAAAACTTGCAAAAGCTGTGAAAGTTTACACACTGAACTATAAGACCATGGCATCTTATTCTGTTTCAGGAATGCCAATAGCTAAATATAAAACCTATCCTTACCACTACCATGAAGGAGATTGAACTATTCATCTCTACAAAAATTAAATGTACCCAGAGTAAAAATATATTGTTATTTGCTTGTCTCACAAGGAAGAAACTGGCTCACCACCTCAAAATCTGGTGTGAATCTGGTACTCATCCAGAGCCTCCAATCAAATTTTTGGTGTCTTCCTCTTCAAATAAACAGCCAAGGTTCACTTGACTTTTGGGAAAATAATCCATGTAAGAAATTCCAAGGATTACTAAAAAAACAAAATAAAAATAAGCAAAGACAATGTGGACAGCAAAAACAAAACAAATCTTCAAAATCTACAGTATATCTATCCACAAACTAAAACAAAGGATGCTATTAAAAAAACAAAGAACAAAAAGAAATGTAAAATATAGATAATTTTAAAAATGAAGAATAATAAAACAACTCTGAGGAATCATTTATAAAAATTTTAAATTAGATAAAGATACAGATGATTGAAGGGAAAACAGTAGTGAATTAGAGAATCAATCTGGGAAGAACAGTGTCAGAATAGTTGAGACACTATCAACCAGCCATATTGCCTTGGTTTGAAATCTAGATCCTTACCTTACTAGTTATGTGGCAGTGAGTGTCAGTTATGTTGTGTATAAATTAGGGAATACGACAGGATATTCTTCATATTATTGTAATAAGCTGAATGTTAATATTAGTAAAATCCCCAGAACAGAACCTGATATAAATACCATATCAGTTTTTATTAACAATTTAGTGTCCCTTCACACCTTTACTGGCTTTACTTATCTTTCAACAGCTTATGGCTTGTGGCATTTACTCTTCTTTTTGTCTGGAAAATTTTTTATTCACATTTTTCATAAGTACCTTTCTTAAACCATTTGTTTCTGATGAATGATGTGAGATCATTCAAATATCATCGCTACAGAGACTGCCCTATTCATCCTAAAACATAGCCCCTATCCCCTCTAATGCTTTACCTTACTTTATTTTTATTTATAGCATTTATTTCAACCTGAAATTATAAGCACATTAATGCCTTTGGTTATTGCTTATACCTACCACCGAAAGATATATTCCATGAAGCAGGAACATAGTTTATTGTTTTTATCCCTGTATGTTCAATGCCTAGAAAAGTCCCTGCCACATAGTGGGTGCTCAGTAAATATCTGTTCATCACAACACAGCAGAGTGGTTAAGAACAAAAACTTTAGAATCAACCTGCCTGTGTTTCAATTCCACTTCTATTAACAACTCTATGCCTTCAGCAATTTACTTAACTTTATTTTAGCCATACTGGGATAATAGTAGCACTTTTTTAATGTTCTGATGATTAAATACAAATAAAACACTTTGAGGTCTGTTTGGCACATATTTATAGATGTGAGCTATTATTATTAGCTAAAATGTTTTGAACGAATAGCACCATGAATGAATTTATGAAGAAATAAAGGAATGAAAAGCATAGGTGAAAGGGGACTTTATAGGTTGCCTTGCTTAATTTTTTTACAACCAACATGTTTTTCTTTTTAACCATTTTAATGCTTAGAAAACAAATTTTAACACTAATAGAAATTTAAAAATCTGTATTTTTTTCTAATAGGAAAAAAGGCACAAGGCTTACAATTATTTTTCCCACTTCTCAGTTCTCTCTGCATCAAACATATTATCTTCAACCTTGAAGTTCATGTCAAGTTACTCCCAATGAGAAAGACAGCAATGCAAACATACCAGTTATTCTGTTACTCTCTTTTAACCCCAAAACCCCATAATCCAAGGTTTGTCCTTCTGTGCCCTGCTTGTAATTAGGGAGGCTGACCCCTGTGGACTGCATCTCCTTTGCTTTTTCACTTCCAAGCTTCCCTTTGGAGTCAACCAATAAGAGACACTGATAGGGGATCAGAGAAAAGGAGAACAGAAAGCATGGTGTTTTACTAGTTGGCCTCTATCTCCCCGAGCTCTGTGCCCAGTACCAACAGTGCCAGTGGCTACATCCCTCTATGGCCACAGCTACTGTAGGACTGCCACTCTCCTATAGATCCAAATTTTACTTCCCTTGCTCCTTTAGGCACAGGGAAGGTAAATGGCTCCCTGCTATTGCTAATCCCTAGGCGTCTCATCATCCCTGGTTGGTGTTTGTAAATCTGCCACCAATTCTGTAAATAATCCCTTCATTAAGTAAGTTATTTCCAAAGTCTTTTAAATACTCCGTCGATTTCTTGACCAACAGTCAGAAAATTATGTTTCATAAGATGGCTGTAGCATGTGACAAATGCAAAAGTTATGCTTTATTCACCATCAGCCTTCATGGCACAAAGGTAATAACTCTTTATGGAAGAAGGTGATTCTGTTTCTGTTTGTCATCTATGGGCATCTACTAGTTTTGGATTTCTTCCTCTTTCAGCTCCTGAAGATTTTTATACTAAGATATTGTAAGAGGGGTGGAAGTTGGGGAAGGCTTTGAGCCATTTGACAAATGAAGTCTTTCCTTGATCAAGTCCACACAATGTTCTGCTAAAGATTCCTGAAGAGAAATTAGGTTTTGCTAAATTCTCAGGAGTCATATTTTTAGAATTTACATGACAATTTGGGATTGAAAATCATAGGGGAAAAATAATTTGGCATAAACATGTTTGAAAATTTTCTATCTAGACAAATTATGTTAGGTCTTCTGGGTATACATTTCTAAGATGAAAATAACCACTAAAACCTAACTAACTTCAGCTAAGAGGACAGATGAGGACATTTTATGTTGGTTTAAACTAGTCCTGTTCCTCCTAGTCACCATAGGCATTGTCTTTCCTGAATATTTGAATTTTTGAGGAAAAAAGTGGCTCTAAGGAGGAATACCTAGAGAAGAATAAAACCTTTGTCTGTGACAGTGAATATATATATAGATACATACATATATATACATATATATATATATATATATATATATTTTTTTTTTTTTTTTTTTTTTTTTTCTGAGACAAAATCTCGTTCTGTCACCCAGGCTGGAGTACAGTGATGCAATCTCAGCTCAACAGTGAATATATTCTAAGTAAATACATATTTATGTATTTTATGACATCAATGTTACATGATTTTGTAGAAAAACATCTTTAGGAACAAAGAAATGAATAAAAGTGTTCATCTGTTTAATGATTGCTTATATTATATTTGGTTAAGTACTATATATTTAAGAATATTCAAGTTCCTCTAATGATGCCTTCATAAAAATTTTAGATTATTTTGGGCATATGTCCTAAATTTAATCAATCAGTAAAACTAGATTAATGTATTTCTTAAATGTAGGAAAAAGGAAAATATATAATTTTATTTATGAAGGTTTTTATTACTTCCTTTAAAAATGCTATTTACCATGTTTCTATTTTTTTCAGTTTTCTAACCTTAGTTTTAATGAAATAACAATAAAAATTTTGCCTTTTCCACATACAGCTTTCAACTTGAGTTTTGTTTTTTTCTGAACCAGGAAAAAAGACAGCTCTGTGATTTTATAAGTGGAACATTGAAACCACTCTTTCTGAGGCTTCAAAGGGGCTATTCCTTAGAACTTACCCTTCTTTGTTGTTCTTCTTGTCAGTTGCATGCTGCCCTGTAGGAGTGAACATTAAGCCACATTAAAAACTTTTTAGCAGGTTTGTTTATTTGTTTCTAACACAGAAAGCCTGAAGTACATGGAGGAAAGAAGAAATCCATTTGAATGGAAGAAGCATTCCAAGTGACAGAATGTATCAGAACATTTAAAGACGAAAGAAGGACATCATTTTGAATCATGAGGCCTACTGGAAAAATAAACAACAAAAAACAAGCAAGCAAAATACAGTGGAGAGAGCTGATAGAGCAGTAGAAAGTCTCCTGGAATATCCCCACAGGCTGCTGGTGTCTGGTAGGGAGGAGAGAGTGAGGGAGCCACTTTGGACATCCGAATCACTTTTAGCATACTTTACTTTTCCTAGGTGCAAAAGCAGAGAGGCAAGGAGACTATCAGTCTTACAATGTTGATGGTTAATAGGAGCCTGGTGATGGTAGTCTGACCAGGGGAGAGAATTAGAGTGGTGTCCCCATCACCCACTTGTTTGTTGGCACCTTGTAGTCCTACACTTGTGAACTTCTAGTTCCTATGGCTGAAGGAAAAACTGATCTAACAAAGAGGAGTAATGCTTTAAGTCTTATCAGAAATATAAGCCCTAGCGTGAAGGAGTGTTTCTAGTGCCTTCTTGAAAAAAAGTTTTTTTTTTTTTTTGAGACAGAGTCTCTCTCTGTCACCCAGGCTGGAGTACAGTGGCGCTATCTCAGCTAACTGCACCCTCCACCTCCCCAGTTCAAGCGACTCTCTTGCCTCAGCCTCCTAAGTAGCTGGGACTACAGGCACCCGCCACCACGCCTGGCGAATTTTTGTATTTTTAGTAGAGACAGGGTTTCACCATATTGGCCAGGCTGGTCTCTAACTCCTGACCTTGTGATCTGCCCACTTTGGCCTCCCAAAGTGCTGGAATTACCGATGTGAGCCACTGCGCCTGACCAAAAAAAAAAAAAAAAAAAAAAAAATGCTTTTAATAGACTGAGGATGGAGAAAATAAGAGCAAAGTACAATAATGAGTGTCTGGAGAGGTTGGAGTAGGAGACCAGGCAGAGTAGCTTGGGAAAAAGGCAGGGAAAGGTGCAAATTGGATGCCAAGATAAGCTTGGCTTATTTCTAATTTTGCCTAAAGTGACATAATATAACTATGTCCCCAAGCACATGTAACATCTGATCACATTGAGATGAGAAATTGCCTGAGAAATACAGATGGAATTTATGCAGTAAGCAAAGTTGGAAAAGCATTTATATCATTCTACAGTTGCTTAGTCTCTCTAGCCTAGGAAACCATGGGATACTTAATTCAGCCATCTCTATCTAGGCCCTGTTATTAATTGTGTATTGCATGGTGTGCTTGCAGGATCACAACTGCATCACAAAAATAATCTGACCCTGGCTGTGAGATTTGGAGATGACAACACAATTGTAAATTTATAAAATTTACTGCACCTACTCAGGGGGACATAAGGCAACTGTGTTAATTCATTTCCCATTCCAGAGGAAAGGAAGGACTATGAAAAATATCATCCAAATCAATAGAACACAGTGATTAGGCTATCTATTGTTTCAATAGTTTCATCAATTGCTGACTGAATCTTCTAGTCTGCAGTTTAAAATCTAGTTAGTACTTTGTCCAATATGCTATAATACATACTAGCAGTCTGTAGAGGGTCTCTATAATGAATTACTGCTACATTCACTGTCCCACCAATTTTCTAATAATTCTGTCAAATCACCTTCTGGATTCCAATTTTCTATTTTTTTTCAATGAGTTACATGACTATAATCCAACATTTTTGTAATTTCAACAAAAAACATTTGAACATGCAGTAAATCACTGGAGGTTACCAGGGAAGAAAGGACCTGCAGCCTTGAACAAAGACGGATTTAGAAATATGTTCAGCAATACCAGTGAATAGTACAGGAGAATCTAGGATAAAGGAAACAGACTGGAAAATAAACCGTAAGTTTAAAGTCCTAGGATCCGTTCTGAATTCTCAAGTGTGAGCCTCAGTTTCCTCCTACAATAAGAATTATACACAAAATAAAATATAAACTCTGGCAACCACCTCACATCTTAATCATATTTTCTTCCTATACACTATTTTGGTGTTGGGAACCAACATTCATCCAGTTGCCCAACCTTCAAATATAAAAAGCCTTTTTAATTCCTTTTTCTTTAATTCTCATATCCATTCAGACATCAAGTATTGTCAATTCTGACTGCTGCATATCTCTAGAATTCAGCTGCTTTCGTATTTTCATTGTTGCTTCTTTAGTTCGTGCCCACTTCATCTCTTACCTGGATTATTATAATAGCTTTCTGATTGGACCTCCTCAAAGTTTCATTCTATCCTTGTATAACCTCCACAGTGCTCACTAGAGTATTCATTCTGAAAAAGAAGTTGTCTTAGTCCATGTGGGCTGTTATAATAAAATACCATAAGCAGATAGCCTATAAACAACAAAGTTTATTTCTCACAATTCTAGAGGCTGGGAAGTTCAAGATCAAGGTGCTGATAGATTAGGTATCTGGTGAGGGCTGGCTTCCTCACAGACAGTTTTCCCACTGAGTCCTTATAGGGCAGAAGAGGTAAAGAGTTTCTTTTTGTCTTCTTTTATAAGGGTTTGAATTCCACTGGAGGGCTTTGCTCTCATGACCTAATTACTTGCTCAAGCCTCCACCTCCTAATGCAATGACACCAGGAGTGAGAATTTCAACTTATGAACTTGGGGGAAACATAAACATTTGGACCACGACAAAAGTTAATTTTTATAATCTTCTATTTTAAATGAGCCACAAAGACAAAATTCTACAATATAGGAAAAAACAAAACCAAACAACAACAACAAAAGACAACCTAGTCCCTTCAGGATCTGACCTGTACCTGTCTCCTGTAAACATCCTTACCTACTACCATTGACATCTTAATGTCCCACTATCCACTGAATGAGTCATGTTCTTTCTTGCTGGTCCTTCTGCCTGGAATACTTTTCTTCCTCTTGCCCATTTAGCAAGCGCTTAATCAATCTTTAAGATTCATTCCAAGTATCACTTCTTCATCCAAGTTGTCTCCTGAACCCTTTTCCCAATCAGGGAAAAGGAAGTCCACCTCTTCATCTCCCAAGAATCATGGACATGATTCTATTACATAGTTCTTATGTGTTACTTAAATTATTCACTTGTAAATATCTCTCCATCAGACTCTGGCTACCTAAACTTAAGGACCACATATTACTCTTCTTGAAATTCTTGGGCTTTAATACAGTGCTTCATGCATAGTGAGGATGATATAACTATTTGCTGAAAGTAATATATGAGCTCTATACAAACATACAGTGGTTTTTTTAGCTGCTGTGGCTTTTTAAGCTAGGTTCACATTCTCTTAATTACACGTGTTATTTCAATTGCATTTTAGATATCCTATATGAATTTCTAAATTTTAATTACTTATTGTTGCAAGATTAATAGGGATGGTAGTATCTTAAGGTGAACTGTTTTTTACACAAACCCCACTTTAGAAACAGATTCCTTTTGGCTCTCGGAAGGTGCTTGTTGAGGTACCTAATGGAGCAGTGGTAATAATTAACATTTCCAATCATCCTAAATTAGAACCAACTCAAAAGAGAGAAAGTGAACTTTAAAAAGATGTTTTCCAGAGAATCATCTGGTAAGCCATTTCTGGAAAATAATCTGTGCTAATGAGGAAAAAAACAAGTGAAGTAAAAGTGGGATGTGGGCTTTGCTATTTTCGGCTCTTTGTTTTGCTTTCAACAAGGTGTCTCTAAACCTTGCTGTGAATTTTGTACATTCTGTCTGAGTCTCATAATCTGAAAAGTGGAAATGAAATCATGCTAAGCCATGGCACAGGGCATCAATGGGAGGAGTAACCTACATCATTAATTTAATGGCAATTATCTCCGGAGATGGTTCTGTGAAAAACAAAAAAAAATACATTAATTTGTTTTACTATTTTGGATACGGCTCCAAAATAAACACTGCACACTGAATAAGCAAAAATTAAAAAAAATTATTGCAATTAGCCATTATGTGTTTTTAGATCCTAGAAAGAAAAGTTCAGAGAATGAGAACCCCTGGACTGTCTCAAAAAAAAGAAAAAAGAAAAAAACAGAAACGCGACATGCTCTAAAAAGGAATATTTAACCTGGATTAATTCATAAAATAATAGGAGAAAATTTTTGCAGCCAGAATACTATGAATTTGAGTTGGTTGAAGGTAAGAAAACACAAGCCTGTCAGTATCTCCCCATTTCTCCCTCCCTTTAGAGTTCACAAATAATTAAATCAATAAATGGTTATTAAACCTGCTTTAATATTTCATTTTGTATAGTTTTTGCTTTACTGCACATATTTCCTGTAAATAAACAAAAAGCTGTTAGACTCCATTCTTCTCTCCTGACATGAGATATCTAAAGAAAGGATAAGTATCCTTTTGTCATTTCATTTTGGAATGCAACTGTGCTGTGCATGGTACAATCACAGAACATATTAATGCATAGCTAATTCCTTTGTTTTCAGAACAACCTCATCTTTTAAAGCAGAGAAGTTTTCTCAGATATGTTTTCCAGAATGCCAAATCGTAAGTAAATTGGTGAGTTTCTTCAGCATTATGTACCCAAAATGCAAGACGCTTTAGATAAAGCTTTCTCTGGTGAAGGGATCAGTTAGGATATAACTATTACAATTTATAGATCTGGGATATTGGTGGATAACTAAGCTTCCCAATAGATCACTCAAAATTAAATTGGTTTTAGCTATCCTTATCTTCCCTCGTGAACAAAAGCACAGGTAGTTGCTTTACACAGGACGTGTAAGTATGTGTGCACCAGACACCTTTTTTCTGCCATTTACACTCCATTCTCAGAGAATAAAAGATTTTATCAACCAAAAAATAAAACTGTAACTCTATTATTGGCCGTAAAACCATTGGCTCTGCACCCAGCATAGAGTATTTCTGTGCCCATAACTACTTGGACTATCTTAACATAACCTTTTGTTAAATATGTTAGAAATTTTCTTTCTTAGTCATTTGTAACAGCCAGCATAGCATACCATCATATATACATACACATATAATCAGTACCTTGCAGATTACAGTATAACTGATCAAATAGTATTGTAAGTTATATGTTATATATTATTCCCAATTTACATTTTTTTCAGATGAGAAAACTGTGGCTCAAAAGTTATGTTACTTGTTAGACATCACCAGACATTTAAGTGGTAAGCACAAGATGTGAACACAACTCTTCTCTATTAAACCTATTAGACCTGCACAGCCCAATATGACAGCCACTAACCACAAGTGGCTGCACACACTTGATATATGACTAGTTTGAAACAAGAAGTGTTTTAAGTGAAAAATAGAGATGAGATTTTGAAAACTTGAGATGAATTAAAGGATGTAAACTATCTCAATAATTTGTATATTGTTTGCATATTGAAATGATAATATTTTGGATGTACTAGGTAAAAGAAAATAATTATTAAAATTTTTGTCTCCTGCTTCTTTTTATTTTTTATAATGTGGCCACTGGAAAATTTGAAATTTTATATGTGGCTTGCATTTTTGTCTCTTATTATATTTGTATTGGACAGCATCGTATTATACCATACTGTCTAAATCTTCACAGGAAAATTTCAGTTGATGACCTCCTGGCTTTGAAGAAGCAGGAAAAATGCTTTTTAAACATGAATTTTCCACCTCAAACTTACAGACACACAGCTTATTTACATGTGTCAATAATGCTGATCACACTAGGAGAATTATTTCTCTTAAGCATGAGCTTCCTAGTGTCAATGTGGAGAAACATCACATTCTGTGCTTTGTATATTTCTTTTTTCTCTAAAATGACTCCACTGTGCTATGCTATCAAGTATCATCTGTTCTTGTGAGGATTATTTGTGCTGCAAAACTCTCAACACCTGGATGCTCTGCATGACTGGCCAGCTCTCAGGATAATCAGCAGTTATGGAATTACATTCTTATACTGCAGGAAGGGCACAGTCATTTAGCAGCTGTTCTCACACTTTCATCTACTTAAGATTGAGGAGGAGAGCTTTTAAAACTATAAATTTCCAGAATTCCACTTTCATGGAATTTGATTCAGGAAGTTTGGGAAGTAGCCAGGAATGTTCATTTTGTTAGACTTCCTGAGTGATTCTGAGGTATGTAGCCTATAGACGAACCTTTGAGAAATATTTCCTTAGAGGAAGGGCTGTGTGTGCATTTCGAAGCAGAGGAAATAAATGTCTGAGCAAATCATGTCGATGTCAGTCATCAGAATCCATCTTATTTTTATGAATTTGTTTATATTATCTGTATTTTGTATAGCCTCAACATGAATTAACATTATGTCAAAAAATTGAAACTAATCAGAGATGGAATTATTATAGATAGATACATATATTTTAAAGCACTGAGTTTAAAAAGGGCAAGTCTTTCTCAATTTCTAAAATTTCAATTTCATCATTTATAAAATGAAGTAGAATCGTATCTTCACTACAATGTCACATGATATATTTTAAAGTGCTATAAATATTGTTATTAATTATTTAAACTTTATCTACCAACAATACTTCAACTAGATGAATATCTGGTAAGACGCAGTATTTAGCCTTCACTGTAGCTTGAAAATAAAATACAGCCTGAGTTCTGAAACTAACTTTTGCATTTTAGGGTAAATTATTGAACTTAGTTATTTGTTAAGGAATGCAAAAAAATTACTACATTGGCAAAGATGTGGTATAAGTATGATATGATGCATGTGGCTGATTTTTGATAATAAAAGATCAGCACATATAATAGAAAAAAATTTATTGCCTGTATGTTAATAAAATCTACCAATTTTTCTACCTTCCCCATTTTATCTATCCTATCATAGAACACCAGAGAATACTAAAGTAAACGTACTACACAATTCTTTCCCAAGAATTCATTTCAATAGAATTGAGTGACCATAATGTGTAACACATCTTACTAAGTACATTATTATGAGAAAGCAAAAATCATGGTGTATGCCTTGCAGCATAAAGCCTGTCAAATACAAGGCCATGGATAGAATCAGCATATATTAAACAATTGTTGAATCAGTAATAAATAAGTTAATAAATAAGCAAATGAACAAATGCAATGTAGCAAATGCCTCTGTCAAAATTCAGAAGTAGACACATCCTTTAGCTATGCACTCTTGTCAATATATGTGAAATATTCCTTCTCAGGTGTCAATAGCCTCTCTCTGCATTGCAGGGGGAAGAATTCTGGTCACTACACCTTGTGTGCACATATCAAAATGTCAATGTTCCCCATAAATATAAACAAATATATGAAAAAGTGGAACAAAAATAACAATTCTGAATACGAGGTTTAATATCATAAGTACAGCTACATGTAAATGTCATAGAACAAACTGAAGATTTTTATAAATTCCCAAAGTAACTCCACTTGCTAACTAGGTGAGTAAGGCTAAGAAATTAGGAGAATGCCCTTAAAGTTTTAAGACCACAGTAGGAAAGAGCTGTGGACCACACAAAATGTAAAATGATGGAATTCAAGTCTTTCGGCAGGTAGTTTTTCACTAGATCAGAGGTGTGACAACACTCAGTGCTTAAATTCACAAATTAGCGTTAATTAATAGATATGCCCAAACCATCAAAGTCCCAGTCCCATCTAGACATAAGGCTGATAATATCAGGGCATAACAAATAGGAAAGCTAAGCAAAGGGGAGAGTCCAGCATTTGTTAAGGACTATCTATATACTGGGCCCTTCTGTTTATCTTAATTAATTCTGACACCAACACTGACAGCTAGGCATTATTCTAATTTTGCACCAAAGAAAATTAAGTTCCTTTCCTTTCAACTATGAAACAAAGCCATATGGTAAGTAAATGGTGGAGCCAAAATGTCAATTCTAAGTCTTCAATTTCCTGGGCTCTTTCTTCTCACTCTGCTACCCTTCAAGGAAGAATATTGCTTCACGGCCGTCTGAATAATTTCTGGGATGAGTGAACTGAGTATTAACTTCCATCCTACCCAGGTAGCCTATAACCCTTCTAATGTTATATACCATACAGAAAGAAGAGACAATTATGAATATGAAAATGTCCTAATGTTCAATCCAAAGAAACTCTGAATTCCTAAGCAACATAGAAGGTGGCAGTAGAAGCAGGATGAGTGAAATCTGTAAAGGCTTTGACTTATACAGACATAGCTTCAGTCTATCTGCAGAGCCACCTACCTACCACGAATCCCTATGCTGATCACATTCATTTCACCACAACAAATTAAAGAACTGAGAGGGATATAAATAATTAGCACTGTGGCCAATTCCAGTAGGGTTTTCTGTCTAGTTAAATGTATGTTTTCATTTCACAGCAATTTTGAAACTGAAAACAATCACAGAACTAAAGAGAACACTTATTTGAGTGCCTCTAAACTGTTCACATGCTGTGTTACTTTTATGCAGTTACTCCTGATCTTTAGACAAGGAACCAACTTTACTAAAATGAAAGACAGCTTTGGAAAAGAATATATGCATTTATGTTAAAGAGAGATATGTTTTATGTTAAGAAGAGATATGAAACATTTATGTTTCAGAGCAACGGCTCTGAAAGGGGAAGCTCTAAGCTAGTTCTGATTTGAGCAGGTGAGAAAAGGTACAAAACTGATAGTTGCTGACAGAATTCCAGGAAATCTGGGAAGTCATATCTTTGGGAAGTACAGGTAGACTTTGTTTCATTGAGCTTTGCTTTGTTGATTTTCACTGATACGGTGTTTTCTACAGATTGACATTTTGTGGCAGCCCTGCTTCAAGCAAATCTATTCACACCATTTTTCCAATAGCATGTGCTCATTTTGTGTCTCTGTGTTACATTTTGGTAACTCTCACAATATTTCAAACTTTTTCATTATGATTATTATTATTGGGACAGAGTCTCACTCTCCCTCCCAGGCTGGAGTCCAGTGGTGCTATCTCGGCTCACTGCAACCTCTCTTCCTGGGTTCAAGCAATTCTCCCACTTCAGCCTACCGAGTAGCTGGGGCTACAGGTGCATGCCACCACACCCAGTTAACTTTTTTATTTTTAGTAGTGATGGGGTTTCACCATGTTGGCCAGGCTGATCTTGAACTGTTGACCTCAAGTGATCCATATGCCTCAGCCTCCCAAAGTATTGGGATTACAGGTGTGAGCCAACGTGCCTGGACTTTGTTGATATTAGTATACCTGTTATGGTCATCTGTGATTAGTAATCTTTAATGTTCCTGTAGTAATTGTTTTGGGGCATCAAGAACCCCACCCACGTAGGACAGCTAACTTGATTGATAAATGTTGTATGTGTTCTGATTGCTCCACCGTCTGGCTATTCCCTCATCTGTCTCCCTGTCCTCCAGCTTCCCTATTTTCTGAGACATAGTAATTTTGAAATTAAGCCAATTAATAAACCTACAATGGCCTCCAAGTGTTCAAATGAAAGGAAGAGTCTCTCATCTCTCACTTTAAACCAAAAGATAGAAAAGATTAGGCTTAGTGAGGAAGGCGTGTCAAAAGCCAAGATAGGCTGAAAGTTAGGCCTATTGCAGTATACAGTTAGCCAAGTTGTGAATGCAGAAGAAACGTTATTGAAGGAAATTAAAATTGCTACTCCAGGGAACACAAAAAATTATAAAAAAGCAAAACAGGCTTGTGTTAGGAGTCTGGATAGATCAAATCGGCTATAACATTCTCTTAAGTCAAAACCTATTTAAAACAAGGACCTAACTCTCTTCAGTTCTGTGAAGGCCGAGAGGGGTGAGGAGGCTGCAGAAGAAAATATTGAAGCCAACGGATGTTGATTCATTAGTTTCATTAGGTTTAAGGAAAGAAGCTTTCACCATAACATGAAAATTCAAGGTGAAGCCACAAGTTATCTAGAAGATCAAGCTAAAATAATTGAAGGTTGCTACACTAAACAGCATATTTTCAATATAGGCAAAGCAATGTTATATTGGAGAAAGATGCCATCTAAAACTTTCATAGCTAGAAAGAGAAATCTATGCCTGGCTTTGCAGTTTCAAAGGACACTGGCTTTTGTTAGGGGCCACTGGTGACTTTAATCTCCTTTACTATTTGGATCTCATTCACCTTTTGGACTTTAAATTCATTTACCATGTGGAGCTCATTCAGCATTCTGAAAATCATAGGGTCCTTAAGAATTGTGCTGAATCTACTCTCCTTGTGCTCTATAAATGGAACAACGAAGCATGGATCACAGCACATCTGTTTACAGCATAACAGTAAATCTGTTTACAGCACTATTTAATAAATATTTTAAGCCCAATATTAAGACCTACTGCTAAGGAAAAAAAATTCCTCTCAAAATATTACAGCTCATTGCCAATGCATCTGATTACTCAAGAGCTCTGATGGAAATGTACAAAGAAATTAATGTTTATTTTATGCCTACAAACGTAACCATTCTGCAGCCCATGGATCAATGAACAATTTCAACTTTTGAGTATTGTTATTTAAGAAATACATTTTAGCCAGGTGCGGTGGCTCAGGCCTATAATCCCAGCACTTTGGGAGGCCAAGGCTAGCAGATCACCTGAGGCCAGGAGTTCAAGACCAGCCTGGCCAACATGGTGAAACTCTATCTCTACTAAAAATATAAAAACCAGCAGGATGTGGTGGCAGACACCTGTAATCCCAACTACTTGGGAGGCTGAGACAGGAGAATCACTTGAACCTGGGAGGCAGAGGGGAGCTGAGACGGTGTCATTGCACTCCAGCCTGGGCAACAAGAGCAAAACTCCATCTAAAGAAAAAAAAAAAAAGGAAAGAAATTCATTTTATAAGGCTATAGCTGCCATATATTGTGATTTCTCCAATGGATCTGGGCAAATAAATTGAAAACTTCCTGGAAAATATTCACCATTATAGATGTCATTACAAATGTAATTCATGGGAGGTCCAAATATCAACATATACAGGAGACTGGAAGAAGCTGATTCCAACACTCATGAATAACTTTGAGGGGTTTGAGACTTCAGTAGACGAAGTAACTGCAGATATGATAGAAACTGCAAGAGAAATAGAAGTGGAGCCTGAAGATGTGACTGAATTGCTGCAATCTCATGATAAAATTTGTACAGATGAGGAATTGCTTCTTATGGATGAACAAATAAAGTGGTTTCTTGAAAGTAGTCCTGCTGTCACATATAGGCTCAAAATAAAAGGATGGAGGAAGATCTACCAAGCAAATGGAAAACAAAAAAAGGCAGGGGTTGCAATCCTAGTCTCTGATAAAACAGACTTTAAACCAACAAAGATCAAAAGAGACAAAGAAGGCCTTTACATAATGGTAAAGGGATCAATTCAACAAGAAGAGCTAACTATCCTAAATATATATGTACCCAACACAGGAGCACCCAGATTCATAAAGCAAGTCCTGAGTGACCTACAAAGAGAATTAGACTCCCACACATTAATAATGGGAGACTTTAACACCCCACTGTCAACATTAGACAGATCAACGTGACAGAAAGTCAACAAGGATACCCAGGAATTGAAGTCAGCTCTGCACCGAGTGGACCTAATAAACATCTACAGAACTCTCCACCCCAAATCAACAGAATATACATTTTTTTCAGCACCACACCACGCCTATTCCAAAATTGACTACATACTTGGAAGTAAAGCTCTCCTCAGCAAATGCAAAAGAACAAAAATTATAACAAACTATCTCTCAGACCACAGTGCAATCAAACTAGAACTCAGGATTAAGAAACTCGCTGAAAACCGCTCAACTACATGGAAACTGAACAACCTGCTCCTGAATGACTACTGGGTACATAACGAAATGAAGGCAGAAATAAAGATGTTCTTTGAAACCAACGAGAACAAAGACGCAACATACCAGAATCTCTGGGACGCATTCGAAGCAGTGTGTAGAGGGAAATTTATAGCACTAAATGCCCACAAGAGAAAGCAGGAAAGATCCAAAATTGACACCCTAACATCACAATTAAAAGAACTAGAAAAGCAAGAGCAAACACATTCAAAAGCTAGCAGAAGGCAAGAAATAACTAAAATCAGAGCAGAACTGAAGGAAATAGAGACACAAAAAACCCTTCAAAAACTTAATGAATCCAGGAGCCGGTTTTCTGAAAGGATCAACAAATAGATAGACCGCTAGCAAGACTAATGAAGAAAAAAAGAGAGAAGAATCAAATAGACGCAATAAAAAATGATAAAGCAGATATCACCACCGATCCCACAGAAATACAAACTACCATCAGAGAATACTACAAACACCTCTACACAAATAAACTAGAAAATCTAGAAGAAATGGATAAATTCCTCGACACATACACTCTCCCAAGACTAAACCAGGAAGAAGTTGAATCTCTGAATAGACCAATAACAGGCTCTGAAATTGTGGCAATAATCAATAGCTTACCAACCAAAAAGAGTCCAGGACCAGATGGATTCACAGCCGAATTCTACTAGAGGTACAAGGAGGAACTGGTACCATTCCTTCTGAGACTATTCCAATCAATAGAAAAAGAGGGAATCCTCCCTAACTCATTTTATGAGGCCAGCATCATTCTGATACCAAATCCGGGCAGAGACACAACCAAAAAAGAGAATTTTAGACCAATATCCTTGATGAACATTGATGCAAAAATCCTCAATAAAATACTGGCAAAACGAATCCAGCAGCACATCAAAAGCTTATCCAACATGATCAAGTGGGCTTCATCCCTGGGATGCAAGGCTGGTTCAATATACACAAATCAATAAATGTAATCCAGCATATAAACAGAGCCAAAGACAAAAACCACATGATTATCTCAATAGATGCAGAAAAGGCCTTTGACAAAATTCAACAACCCTTCATGCTAAAAACTCTCAATAAATTAGGTATTGATGGGACGTATTTCAAAATAATAAGAACTATCTATGACAAACCCACAGCCAATATCATTCTGAATGGGCAAAAACTGGAAGCATTCCCTTTGAAAACTGGCACAAGACAGGGATGCCCTCTCTCACCACTCCTATTCAACATAGTGTTGGAAGTTCTGGCCAGGGCAATCAGGCAGGAGAAAGAAACACAGCGTATTCAATTAGGAAAAGAATAAGTCAAATTGTCCCTGTTTGCAGATGACATGATTGTATATCTAGAAAACCCCATTGTCTCAGCCCAAAATCTCCTTAAGCTGATAAGCAACTTCAGCAAAGTCTCAGGATACAAAATCAATGTACAAAAATCACAAGCATTCTTATACACCAACAACAGACAAACAGAGAGCCAAATCATGAGTGAACTCCCATTCACAATTGCTTCAAAGAGAATAAAATACCTAGGAATCCAACTTACAAGGGATGTGAAGGACCTCTTCAAGGAGAACTACAAACCACTGCTCAAGGAAACAAAAGAGGACACAAACAAATGGAAGAACATTCCATGCTCATGGGTAGGAAGAATCAATATCGTGAAGATGGCCATACTGCCCAAGGTAATTTACAGATTCAATGCCATCCCCATCAAGCTACCAATGCCTTTCTGCACAGAATTGGAAAAAACTGCTTTAAAGTTCATATGGAACCAAAAAAGAGCCCACATCACCAAGTCAATCCTAAGCCAAAAGAACAAAGCTGGAGACATCACGGTACCTGACTTCAAACTATACTACAAGGCTACAGTAACCAAAACAGCATGGTACTGGTACCAAAACAGAGATATAGATCAATGGAATAGAACAGAGCCCTCAGAAATAACGCCACATATCTACAACTATCTGATCTTTAACAAACCTGAGAAAAACAAGCAATGGGGAAAGGATTCCCTATTTAATAAATGGTGCTGGGAAAACTGACTAGCCATATATAGAAAGCTGAAATTGGATCCCTTCCTTACACCTTATACAAAAATCAATTCAAGATGGATTAAAGACTTAAACATTAGACCTAAAACCATAAAAACCCTAGAAGAAAACCTAGGCATTACCATTCAGGACATAGGCATGGGCAAGGACTTCATGTCTAAAACACCAAAAGCAATGGCAACAAAAGACAAAATTGACAAATGGGATCTAATTAAACTAAAGAGCTTCTGCACAGCAAAAGAAACTACCATCAGAGTGAACAGGCAACCTACAAAATGGGAGAAAATTTTCACAACCTACTCATCTGACAAAGGGCTAATATCCAGAATCTACAATGAACCCAAACAAATTTACAAGAAAAAAACAACCCCATCAAAAAGTGGGCGAAGGACATGAACAGACACTTCTCAAAAGAAGACATTTATGCAGCCAAAAAACACATGAAAAAATGCTCATCATCACTGGCCATCAGAGAAATGCAAATCAAAACCACTATGAGATACCATCTCACACCAGTTAGAATGGCGATCATTAAAAAGTCAGGAAACAACAGGTGCTGGAGAGGATGTGGAGAAATAGGAACACTTTTACACTGTTGGTGGGACTGTAAACTAGTTCAACCATTGTGGAAGTCAGTGTGGCCATTCCTCAGGGATCTAGAACTAGAAATACCATTTGACCCAGCCATCCCATTACTGGGTATATACCCAAAGGACTATAAATCATGCTGCTATAAAGACACATGCACACGTGTGTTTATTGCGGCATTATTCACAATAGCAAAGACTTGGAACCAACTCAAATGTCCAACAATGATAGACTGGATTAAGAAAATGTGGCACATATACACCATGGAATACTATGCAGCCATAAAAAATGATGAGTTCATGTCCTTTGTAGGGACATGGATGAAATTGGAAATCATCATTCTCAGTAAACTATCGCAAGAACAAAAAACCAAATACTGCATATTCTCACTCATAGGTGGGAATTGAACAATGAGATCACATGGACACAGGAAGGGGAACATCACACTCTGGGGACTGTTGTGGGGTGTGGGGAGGGGGGAGGGATAGCATTGGGAGATATACCTAATGCTAGATGACGAGTTAGTGGGTGCAGCGCACCAGCATGGCACATGTATACATAGGTAACTAACCTGCACAATGTGCACGTGTACCCTAAAACTTAAAGTATAATAATAAAAGGAAAAAAAAAAAGAAAGTAGTCCTGGTGAAGATGCTGTGAACGTTGTTGAGATGAGAAGAAAATATTTATTTAAAATATTACATAAACTTAGTTGATAAAGCAGCATCCAGGTTTGAGAGGATTTAATCCACTTTCAAAAGAAATTCTACTGTGGGTAAAATGCTATGAAACAGCATCACAGACTACAGAGAAATCTTTCATGAAAGGAAGAGTTCATCTATGCAGCAAGCTTCATTGTGGTCTTATTTTAAAAATGTCCACAGCCACATTTCTACAGCCACCCCAACCTTCAGCAACCCCCAGTCTAATTGGTCAAAAGCCATCAAAGTTAAGGCAAGACTCCACAAGGAAAAAGATAAAAATGTGCTAAAGGCACAGATGATAACATTATCTTTAGCAGTAAAGTATTTTTAATGAAGGTATGGATGTTGTGTTTTTTAGACATACTGTTATTACACAGTTACCTATAGTGTAGTATAAACATAATTTATGTAACTACTGGGAAACCAAAAAATATGTGCAACTCACTTCATTGCAGTATTTTCTTTATTGCAGCGATCTGCAACCAAACCTGCAATATCTCCAAGTTATGACTGTAGACTCCACAGTGTAGTGGAGATTGAATCTCCATGGAGATGTGCCTGAAAATCTCTTACTACATGATGAGTGTAACTCTTTGAGAACAGATAGGACATGCTAGCTCGCAAAGGAAAGCCTAGTCTGACCATACCTCCCCTCTGTATAGTTGTTTGTCCCCACTCCCTTTCACTTTGAAACATGCCATGTGAATCTCTGTTCTTGTACTTGCCATAATTTAGAATCATTTATTTATGTGCTCATCTTCCTCTATTTTAGTGTGAACTCTGGAGAGCAAGAACTTTTATTATTTACTTCTCTACTATGTATTCAAAACATTGCCTTAGAAGGTTCAGAACATATTATTCTCAGCCACCAACTTGCCCCCTATACCCACATAGACAGTCCCCACTAACAATTATCCACTGTCTCCTGAGATGATTGGTTTAGGGTTCATGGTCTAGACCCTCAACCACTTACCTCATTTCACTTTGTACTTTCTTCATATCCCACAGGAAAGCTGGTTCCTGTTCTATTGTCTCTCTCTTTTGCCTGTGGTGTTACATGCTCTTCTCTTGCAAATGACACTTTATGCTGCTTTTACAACATCTTTCCATTATATTCCACTCACATTGGTACTTATTGTTGGAATCAAGTTTAGTTTTTCCTCTCAGGAGGGCTTTCAACCTGACTTCTCAGAATCTATGTATGAGTTGGCTCATAGATTTGGCATCAATGACAAGGCTTAACTTATCTGTGAAAGATAACCAGATAGAAAGGAGATACTAAAAATATACTGCTAAGTAAATATCTAAAATCCAGGAGGCCTTGCAAGGATGAAGGATAATATTAAACAAGAAAATAAATGAAGAATGACCCAATTCTGTGCATCTGACATCCACAAAGAAATAAAAAGCTTAACTTATAGCCTCAAAATAATAACAAATAATTGTGAAATATACTGGTCTTTCTACTAATTTCAGAGATAATTTTTAAAAACACACACAAGGCAAGAGAACGAAATCTATTTGTATTTTTTTTAATTTTTGAAGATTCCTATGCTCAAACACAGGGAATTATGATATGAATTAAAATATAAATTAGTTGTAATTTGCATGGGTTCACAAACCCTGATATGCAATTCCAGAGCTGTATACAACAGCATTCCCAATATGAGAGAATCAAGCTGACTTGGTTTCTAGGATGTCCCAGTGCTTGCTTTGGATTTGTTCACACACAGATTCAGATGCATTTTAATCTCCAGCTCAGCCCATATGGTCACCCCATGAGCATTCAGAATAATTCTCAGGTACATAGTCACTCAGCTCTGAAACAAAAGCGTGAGCATATCAGGCGTGTAACATTCATCATCTTCAACATAATAATTCATGAACGTTAAAGAAATACTACAAACTCTACTGAAGCCTATTAATTTCCAATTCCATTTAATAGCAGGATCAAAAGCTTATTTTTCCAGTGTAAGGGACATGCACAGTAAGAGAATAGATACTCAGAAATGCTTTCACCATCAAGCTGGGGTATGAAGGCTCCATCTGAGTAGGAGTTCAGGATCTGTTCTGTGATTTCTGTTGCTAGGCAACCACTTCCTTTGTCTGCTTTGTTCAGAACAGTTGCTTTATTTATACTTGGTTTTAATGATGCAGATCATAATGTGAAATTATAAAAGAAAATAGGAAAAAATTATATCGAAAATTGTTCCAGGGAATTTGGAATACTGTGTGAAAACTAATGAATGTTGATGCAAATAGAACTTCTGCAAAAAAAAAAAAAAAATCCAAAATCATAATCCAACAGGTCCCACCTACTTGAGACTTTTTGAGTGGGCTATCTCATAACCTAGAGTTAACCTTGTATATTAACTATGTCTGTCCAAAATAAAACTAGCACCTAGGCAATAATTAAAAAATACCAAAAACAACTGGAAGGCAATTTTCAGAAAACAATTTTTTTAGTGTTAGATGTTGAGATAATTTGGAGATTAACATGTGTTAAAAATCAAAAAGTAAACTTAGAAATGAAAAGGAAATACAGGAGGACAAGGGATGCAGGAGATAAAAGGTATATTTATAAATTCTAAATTTTGAGAAACCTTGAAATATGTGATAAAGATTCCAGAAACTCTGATGTGTACATACCATAAAATTGAACTAAACTTCTTCATTGACAAAAACCTCACTATTTTCTACCACAGGTAACTTTTTTAAAAATTATCCTCAATCTATTATTTTAAAGATGATTATTAATGGAAGAAAAACAATGGCTATGCTTTGATCATGTTGATTGTTACTTAAGTTTTGCCTGGGTTTTCCATGTCAATTCTTTTTTTCATTAGCTAGTCTTATTTGTTTCCTTGCCTGTTAATAACAGTGAACCTCTCGGGTGCCCACAAGGTCCCAATATACTAGTACTTCACAGATCTTAATTTGATCTTCAAATGACCCTAAAGAAGGCACTATTATTATCATCCCCATTATATAGATGAAAAAAATGAAGCACAGCGGTGTGAAATATGTTTCCCTGGGGCATCCAACTAGCAGGTGGCAAAACCAGGATTAAAACTCACATACTCAGCAGGACATGCTCAGTTACTAATCTATGAATTGTTTTGTTATTCCTCCCAACCCACTGCCTCAACATGATTTTGTTAATGACTGCTTTCACACTGAGTACCCTCCTTGATTTGAGTTTTCATAAAATAACCAGCTAACTCAATATTTTCTGTCTCCATCTATTTTTATTCTCAATCTTGAGCACTGTAGGTTATAAAAAGTTTGGACTGCTGCATTCTGGTTATAATAAACCCTAGGTAAAATGTGTTCTATTCATTTCGTTAATTTTCATGCCTCTCCCACTGTTGCCTATAGAGTTTTGAGATGCTAGAAGACCTGAGGTATACTTATATTGTTGCTGTAGACTGGCTTGCTTGCATACTTATGAAAGTCTTCAGGCTTTTAGTCCCTCTATTATATAGGAAGGTATTAGATAAATACCAAGAATTAAGGACCAAACACACAAGAGACTCCATATGAAGTTTGATTATCAGTATTTTTGCTTATGAAATGTGGGCTTCTGCTAATCTAAACCAAGGTCTCAGATGTTTTCTTTAATGTCCCCACAATTAAAATTCTTATTTTTTTCTTCTATTATTACATAAAAAATAGTTTTGACTAATTTTTGAAGCAATAATAAGTCTAGTGTCATAGAGATTTTGTGACCTTTATGTCTACATTAACCTCGAATTTCAGAGAAGTTTGCATTTTACCCTATATAAAGGCATTCCAGAAACAGGCAACAAAAGAGGAAGACGAGAGAGATTCTGATGCCACTGGAGTTTGTCGTTCATAGAACAAATAAGGCTGTGTTTCAAGAGAGGCCTAATTTGCTTTATTCCTTACGTGCTTGTCTTCTAATGAAATTCTCATCTCTAAGTCAATAGTTCTCCAACTTTGGGTCCCAGACCAATGGAGAACAGATCTCAAGAGTACACGTGGCCACTTGCTTCCTCATTAAACAGAAACAGAGAAGCAAGGCAAAGCAAACCAAGAAATGCTGGCCACAAAGAGAGCATACTAAACTTCTTTAAAGCTTGTAATTTTCATGTGATTATATGTAATGTTGTTTTGAGCCAAACAAAGCTCATTTCAATCCATTTACTAAATTATAATTTTTAGAATACAGACCCTTTTCTTTATCAATAATATACCTACAATTAAATTATTTATTAAAATTATGATGATTATTGCTAAAGTTGCAAGAAAATTTATTTATTTATTTTTACTTTTTTATTTCCATAGGTTTTTGGGGAACAGGTGGTATCTGGTCACATGAGTAAGTTCTTTAGTTGTGATTTGTGAGATTTTGGTTCACCTAATGCCCAAACAGTATACACTGAACCTAATTTGTATTCTTTCATCCTCTACCCCACTCCCACCCTTTCTCCCTAAACCCCAAAGTTCATTTTATCATTCTTATGCCTTTGCATCCTAATAGCTTAGCTCCTACTTATGAATGAGAACATGTGATGTTTACTTTGCCGTTTCAGAGTTACTTCACGTAGAATAGTAGTCTCCAGTTCCAACCAGGTTGCTGCAAATACCATTAGTTCCTACCTTTTTATGGCTGAGTACTATTCCTTCATATGTATATTTAAACATATATCTATATATATATCGCAATTTCTTTATGCACTCATTGATTGATGGGCATTTGGGCTGGTTCCGTATTTTTGCAATCGCGAATTGTGCTCCTATCAACGTGTGTACAAGTATCTCTTTTGTATAATAGCGTCTTTTCCTCTGGGTAGTTACTCAGTAGTAGGATTGCTGCATCAAATGGTAGTTCTACTTTTAGTTCTTTAAGGGATCTCCACACTATTTTCCACAGTGGTTTTGCTAGTTTACATTCCTACCAGCAGTGTAGAAGTGTTCATTTTTCACCACATCCATGCCAACATCTATTTTTTTTTATCTTTTTTTTATAGCTATCTTGCAGGCATAAAGTTTACTCCTGCAAGATAGCTAAAATCAAAAAATCAAAAAATAATTGTTCTTTTAGACTTTCCTCTGGGATAATGTGCTTGGACAACCCTGAGTGTTTTATATAAGGTAATCTTTTTAATAGTTTTGATAGTCCCTCAAAAATAACATAAATATTATTAATATTAATTCTTACACAATGAAATATTTCTTGAAATAAATTGTATATGTTTAAATATAAAGTAAAATATGTTATGTTTTAAATATAAAATACATAAATAAAATAGATTATAGTAAATATACTATAATGTAGGATCTGTAGTAGAAGGGACCTTGTGGGCCGGGCGCAGTGGCTCACGCCTGTAATCCCAGCACTTTGGGAGGCCGAGGCAGGTGGATCACGAGGTCAGGAGATGGAGACCATCCTGGCTAACACGGTAAAACCCCGTCTCTACTAAAAATACAAAAAAATTAGCCGGGGGTGGTGGCGGGCACCTTAGTCCCAGCTACTTGGGAGGCTGAAGCAGGAGAATGACTGAACCCGGGAGGCGGAGTTTGCAGTGAGCTAAGATCGTGCCACTGCACTCCAGCCTGGGCAACAGAGTGAGACTCTGTCTCAAAAATAAATAAATAAATAAAAAGGACCTTGTGTGAGTTGAGTCTGGGACACAAAAATGAGCTAACAATTCATTAGCTCATGCATTTTTTAGGTTACTATGGTACAGAAAACACGTAAGGCTCAATTAAAGAATAGAAAGGTATAGTATAAAGTCTACCATCAGATATAATAAAGTGTCATTGTTTACTGACAAGGAGAGGCATAGGTAAATTAGACGGCATGCAGGAAAAGAGGAATATGATTTGAAACTTTTTATTTCTGTAAAGCATTTTGGTAGATGTTCTCTTCTAGCATCACATCATAAACCTAAATGAGTACAAGGGCCACAGTGATGTCAAAAATATTTGAATCTGGCTAAGTATTAAATCATAGGTAATGTAACACCCTGAATAATGACTCTTCCCATTTGTTGTCTGCAGTTAGATTCATAGCCAGCCCACTGAATATGAATTGGGTATTCATCTTATATAGCAATGTGAGAAAATAGTTAATTTAAGTAAATAACAGCAAGAAGGATGTAAATACTAACACACTAAGCACTATTTTAAAATATTTTATATACATCAATTAGTTTAATTATATAATAACCCCACATGGTAGATACTTTTCTATGCTCATTTTGTGGATGAATCACACAGAACATAAATAGTTGTTCCAAGGTTACGTAACTATTAAGTGCTATAGCTAGAATTAGAATCCCTGCAGTTTAATTAAGGATCCCAGTGTTTACACTGACCTATGATTATTAATTCTAACTTGAAACACATTTTCCTTTAAATAATTAATGACAGTTGATTTTTAAAAATTGTTTAATTTAAACATAATTTTACCTATGTCAGAGACTTGCTGAATTTTTTTCAGAGTCTCAGTAACAGAGCAAAATTTTATAGCTGAGACCCATGTTCCATAGTACAACTTCGTATCACAAATGAAATCCTCTAGAATATAGATGGCTACGTCTGTTCACGAGATAGATCCATTTCCAGTTAATAAAATATGTTTTTGTATTGTCATATATCTTCTTGTTAAATATCAAATTACCTTTAATTTTATAAAAGCCATTATAGGCAAATAATAGCTTAAGTTTAAATTACAACGTTAGGGAAAGTTAAAAAACCACAAGATTGGCTGGGCGCGGTAGCTCACGCCTGTAATCCCAGCACTTTGGGAGGCCAAGGTGGGAGGATCACGAGGTCAGGAGATCGAGGCCATCCTGGCTAACACGGTGAAACTCCGTCTCTACTAAAAATACAAAAAAAAAAATTAGCCGGACGTGGTGGCGGGCCCCTGCAGTGCCAGCTACGCTGCGGGAGGCTGAGGCAGGAGAATGGTGCGAGCCTGGGAGGCGGAGCCTGCAGTGAGCCCAGCTCGTGCCACTGCACTCCAGCCTGGCAGACAGAGTGAGACTCCGTTTAAACAAACAAACAAACAAAAAAAGGAACACAAAATTATGGTTACAGATATTTCAGCAAGACGAGTTATTTAAATATTGTCTCTTCTACTTCTGAAATACGTGCCCCTTATGATGTGTATGATTAGATAATTTGAACAGTGAAAATTGGCTATGGAAATGTAGTACTTTCTCACATATGTCAGAATGTAATCACTCATGATTTATAGCAAATTTCTGAGTTTATATGTTTATTTTATATCTAATTATTTTTTGTATTTTTTTTCTTAATTTGTCCATATTTGCTTCTGCAACCCCTTAAAACAGAGTTATAGTGAGAGCTCAGAGCACCTCAAGCAGCTGGTGGAAGAATGGTTCAGGCTGTTTTTTGTTCTCTGATTAGTATAAGATCCCAGGATGAGGAATGAAAATAAATTAGCATTAGACTAAGAGAAATTCTAGGTAAATAAAAACATGCAGTATACCACAACACTGCAACCTGTCTATTGCCTCAGAAAACACAACATAAGAGCTAGAAACAATTCCAAAATGCCAATAAATTGTGAATCTATGATTTGTTAGTTAAAATTACCAATTATATTTTGTACTCAAGAGTCTTACATGCTAAATAATTGTAAATATTGAAGCAAGTAAAGATGCTTTCCCTATGTATATTTGTAGGCATCAAAGAGCACAGAATTACATGTCATTCATCATCATTTAAAACCATTTTAAGTGTTAGATAATTAATGATATTTTTCTCATATTGAAATGTAACATCTGTCTAATTCTAATAGGGCATTAAAATACACAATATGTGTTTAAACTCCATAGTGTTAATTGATCCATAATTAGACTGTGCAAATAGGAAACATGTCACTTGAGATGGATAATAAATTCATATTAGGTGAAATATATGGAAAAAATCCTGTGCTGGTATGAATGATAAAATTTGAAATATTAACGCGACTATGAAGTGTACACCCTCTATCTGCTTTGGTCAAATCACATTATTCCTAGTTTTGACTTTTCCCCTAACTGGGAAAATTAGAATTTCTACTGGTTTAATTTCTCAGTTTGCTAACAGGAGAAATTTGAGAATTTCATGGTAACTTAAATACATACCATAAATGTTTATAGAAACAAAAGTTAATGCTCAATTCAGAAAAAAAATCTGTTTAAAAATACTCTGATAGAAACAAGGACTCTTTTCACAAGCTGACCAATTACACATAATTCTATGGAGATCTGAGAGATAAATGGATTCCCAACTGGAACATTGTTATTCTTATGTTGTATTCCTTAGTTATAAAGTCTGCGTCTCCAGGATTTCAAAAGCTCAGTATTGTAATGATTGTGGATTAAAACTACAGCCATTTGGCATACAGAGAAGTTGTAAGGCATTGCAGGAGGTACTATCAGCAAGATCAGCAGGGGTGAACTTTATTAAAGTGTTTTTGCCACTCCTTGCCTATAAAATTCAAGCTGTTCTTAAACAGTAGTCCTTATGTAGGTTGCCCTCTGGAAGTGGAAATTTTTGCAAAATTTCACAATGCAAGTTTTTTGCTCTGGGCATGTCAATGGGTTAAAAAATAAATAAGTAAAACCTCTTATTGGCTTTAAACATTGTCATATTCTTTCTGTCTACATTTTCCCATTTTTTTCATAACCATGCTGCTACACTTAAATGAAAACAGTTAAATTATAATTTTTAAGAAATGTGTTATTACATTCTGCACTCTTCTCCTGTAGTATGTTTCCTATTCAACAATTTTTTTAAATTGTATCTTACATCTGCTACCTTACATTAGATAACCTTGCTCTGACATAAAGTCTGCTTTTAGGAGATGCTTAAAAAGTGGGATTATAGCACCAGATAATGTATCTTACAAAATCATGGCTTGGACCCAAGTGATTCTCTATTAACTTTTAGATTGATCTGGTTCTTGAAGGCTGTTTGGTTGACTCATGTGTTCATCAGATTGAAGTTTATCACAGATTTCTGGCTTTAGCTTTTTAGATCTTGTCGATTCTCACAGCATTAAGCAAGCAAGCTGTTCCTTAGTGTTGTAAATTTACTGGTGATGCTTTTGGATGTTACTTAATGTGGCATGTGGGAAAAAAATAAGAAAATAGACAACCAGAGACAGAGGACCATTTGTGGCAAAATCATATCTACCTTTGTTCAGTGTCCAGGGAGCATGAGAACAGAGGATCTGATTTGATCTGCATAATCCTACTGAAAAGCATGTCATGGTCAATGATTGATTTTTGAATTTGTAATAGTGAATTTAAAATGAAAAATTGGAATAAAATAATAGTATGAGGCATTTTGATAAAATTAAAAGAATTTTATCATCTCATTTAAATTTCAAGACTTTATAAGAGCTGCAAAGCAAATTACAGATCTACATCTCTCCCAGCCTCACCCCATAAACAGAAAGAAGATGAGACTACAGAATATTAGGAAATACATTGCCATGAACAAGTAGGATTTGAAAGCAGTCTGCTGTCTTATGCACTGAAGCTGAGGACCCACACTTTAACAGAATCTAAATGCCAGAAGAAACATGGACTCAGGTTACTACATTTTTTTTCACTTTCCCAACTTTCATGGTTCAAATATCTTAACCTGTATGCTGGTCAAAGAGCAAGAGCTCTTCCACATTTATTTTCCTATAGTGATTAAACTTATTTATTAGTGCTAGACCATTTTCTGATTTTTCTAATCTTTATTAGGACACCCCCATAATCAAGAAATACTGGAATTTGGTTCAAAGTAATGCTACCCAGATACTGACACATGATCTTTTCCCCTTTGCCCAGCCCAGAATTCTCACCTTTCAAAGTGGATCCTTGAAATTCCTGAAGGCGGCCTGCTTAGAATTTTGTTTTGTTTTATTTTTAGTTTCCTTTTCCTTTTATGACCTCCCAAAACAAAAGAGGTCACCTGTCCTGCTCTGATGTTTCTACTCTTCCTTTTGCCTCCTTTCCCCCAACACACCACTGTTCCACAGATTCCAGTACTCTGTATGGGTGACACCATGCCTGCCTATGGGAGAAGCAGCAATCATAGATACTAGTTAGGATTTTTCTTCTGGGAACTTACTAAATGATCTTATTTTATGTCTTTTTATCAATAAAAATGTAACAGTTAAGATTCTTTATGGGTCTGTTATGCCTGAATATCAAAATAGTATGGATTTTTTAATCTTAGTCTCCCTAAACTAGTTAAGTATTATGCTAACTGACCGTAATAGAAAACCCAACAGTGTTTACACTGTTCTTAAGTGTGAAGATTATACTGAGAATCAGCCCCTTACTTTGGGATAAATGCACCAGTGGTAAGCAGGTAAAAAGTAGTAGGTGGAAGGATTATTGATTCACCATCACAGGGGAACTTTTCATAGTAATACCTGACCTATTTCCATGATTCCTTGAGGCCTGATCCCACTGATCTTTCCTGGAAGAGCGACCTTGGAAAAGATCCCGTGTCAAGTAGACATGGTTGAAAAAGAATTAAGATATCAAATCCATCACTGCCATATTTATTTAGAGAGAGGAACCCTGAACCATGGAGACAGCTAAGCAGAGTTACCGATTTTCATGAATTCCATTTGAAGATGACAGCCTGTGCAAAAATATTGCTTTCATTTGGATCAGAAATGCTCCTGAAATGAAAGTGAAGTTACACAAAAGGAATAAAACTGTAACAGGAAAGAAAATTGAAAGGAGTGGTTATTACAGGACAAGATTTTTTTAACTTATAGAAGTCATACACAGGAGACTGCTGCATGGATACTAAAGAAATAAGGGAGTGTAACTGTTTATGAGAACTAAGGACAGAATCTAGGTTGTAATCATCAGGTGTATGGAGTTTGAAATGAGGGATGAGGGATACAGTAAATTGAACTGTGTCTACTGAGGGACAGTGAGGTTAGACAGAATGAAATTGAACCCTAGCATGCCAGTGATAAACAATGTTTATCTAACAAAATGATAATAAAACTATTCTAAAATTTCAGAGTCAAGATACAAAGTAAGAAAGACTTAGTTATGATTGAGGATGTAATATAATATTAATTACCTTGACAATGTAAAATTAAAATAAATAGGAATAGCATATGGAAAGGGGGAAGAAAAGAGAAATAATTTTAGAGGCACTATTATTCTTATATTTACAAACAAAGAGTCAACAAATATTTTTTAAAGTGGCTAAAACAATAAAAAATTGGATTATAATATTTAAAGTTACTTAAGAATCAATATCAATAAAACCATAATAATCAAGCATTGAGAAAATTAGTGGACAAGAAAGTAGGAGATATAAAATGAGCTAAACTTTTAGTTTTTTAAGATACAGCCAGTAAGTACTGCCTGAAGTTGATAAATAAAGAAAATGTGGTAAAATATTATCTATAATGATGGAGGAAATCACCAGGAAAAACGGAAACAGAAAGAATGTTAGAATGTTCCCTCGGGATAGAAATATTAGAGTTGGAAAGGGTGGTAAAGGCAAATTTTTAACCATAAACTCTTCTATACTATTGGCTGATATTATGTTTTATGACAGGCTAACAAAAGAAAGTTTATTTAAATTCTAAATGTAAATGTGGTTCTAACAGTTGTTCTTTCTTTATTCGAACACAGTTTTCTCAGGTTGAAATGAGATAGGATCATGCCTGTTACACAACAAGTGCTTGATGAAATAAATCATTATTATTGTTATTCTGCTTATTAACATCACTTTCCTTGGGTGGCAGGGTAGTTGGTAGGGAAGGAAAGTCAATATTCAGTTATAAAGCATGTGGTTACATAACCACATTTTCTTGACTGCTAAACTGGAACTCATTTCTAGAAAGTAAATCCAACAAACAAGAAACCCAAGATCTGGAAAGTCACATTCCCATTGTCTTGTGTAAAACTTTGAAATAATCTAAGCAGCTTGTTTTGGGATTTCTATCCCTAACATTAACATCATCACAGAATTTTGGGTTTCTCCAGACAGAAATTTGAGCTGAAAGTCAGCATTAACACAGAGGTTATAGAGTTATCGCACCCTCATTCATGTCTTCTGTTTAGCATGGTGAGGATTCAAGCCATTCTGATTCATTTTTTTTTTAATTTGTATGCAACCTACTAACAGGAAATGATGTTCTGCATATTGCTTCAAATTTTAACTTGAAGTAGTTTTCATTTATTAAAAAAAACTTGTGGTTTTTAATACATTGTTCTATTTAAGTGTAGGAGGTTTTCATTGGAGATGACATTAATTATAAGTAAAGTTAATTTAACAGATGGGTGATAATGAGATACTTGAATCATCAACTGAGAGAAAAATACAAACTTAGAAGAGAATGACAATCACTGTTCACTGGTCATTTGTAGGCTATGTATCCAATATTTTAAATTATCATATTTAGAATTATATTACCTATTATATTGGGTAGAACATGTGTATCATAAATATGAGTTATGCTTATACCAAAACACATAATTTTGGTGATGCCAAAATAATATACCTATAAAAGAACATTGCTTATAAATGGACTAAAAGTAAAGGCTACAATTCTATTTTTAAAGCATCCTGCATTAAGTTCTGTATTTACATTTAAATTCAGCACCATAAAATCATGTTTCTGTAAAACCTGAAGTGGTTGCATGCATTTCTTTAAATGTTGTATAAATATGTAGCGTATCACATAATAAACTATATGCCTAAAATATGTAATTGTTGTAAATTCTGATGCAATAATATTTAATAGGTTTTAAAGGAAATTAAAGACATTATGAGGATAAAGATAAAGAGTGATTTAGTGGAATAAGTGACTCTACATATACATTGATAGATTCATACTTTTCAATATGTTAAGCCACCATTGCTGTTTCCCAGCATGTTTGAAAGGTAAGGGACATGTTGATGGCACAGCTTTCATTCTCTAAACACAGAAGAGTCTCCTCTGGAAGGGACTATAGTGAGTACATTCAAAGCCTTTCATTAAACAGACATTGATGACTCCATCAGTGTTCAGGTATATCAACATATTTTGCTATAAGGGATTCCTTTACTTATCATTAGTCAACTGGAATAAGATATTTAAACATGAATGACATGAGTGAACATATGCCTAAGGGTTTTCAATTATTTATGAATATACTTAATTTTGTCTCAATATTTTCATAATGACTTAGACACACACACCTTAATCATGAATTCTGGACTACATATCTTGATAATTATGTCCTAGCCAGGCATTACTAATTTTAATGCCAGTGTTTCAGTTCAGGATTGATTTAAAATCAGACAAAACAGTTTATTTTGCCTGGACTGTCTAGAAAATAATTCGGAGAGACTTAACTCCTAAGTTTTACATTCATGCCAAGTGAAATTCAAATGTTTTCCACAGTGCTGTATAAGAACATATGTATGTGAGGCGTGCAGGGCCAGAAACTGGAGCAGCTCAGAGGCAGTGAATAGCTCTTCAAGCCTGCAATAAAAAATGACCTCCAATAAAACTACATTGCAAAAAAAATGGGAAAGTAACAGAATGGGAAATGTAGAAAAGTCAAAGAGGCAGAGACTGAAGAATTTGTGGTGGAAGTAGCAAATAGGAAGCTGGAGTATTTCCCAGAGTGGAAGGGATTTACAAATGCTGACAGTACTTGGGAACCAGAAGACTACTTAGAATGTCAAGAGTTAATTGAAACATTTCTTAACTCTCAAAAAGCTGGCAAAGAAAAAGATGATACAAAAAGGAAATGTTTATCTGACAGTGAATCTGATGATAGCAAGTCAAAGAAAAGAGATGCTGCTGACAAACCAAGAGGCTTCGCCAGAGGTCATGATCCAGAAAGAAAAATTGCCACAGAGAGAAGTGGTGAATGGATATTTCTCCTGGAATGGGAATATTCAGATAAGGCAGACTTGCTGCAGGCAAAAGAGACAAACATGAGGAGTCATCAAATTGTAATTGCTTCTTATGAAGAGCGATTGCCTTGACATTCTTGACGAGAAGATGAAGCTCAACAATTGTTTGCATTGCATTTTACATATGTATGATATATATATATATATATATATATATATATATATATATAATCTGGATCTTGGTTTTTTTAATTTACTAATGTGAAGAAATCTCTACATTCTAATGAAAACCAAGTTTGATATGTTTGTTTTCAAAGTAGTATTGGGAGATTTGCCAGGAGATTTTTTTTTTTTTGCATCAATCACATTGGTTAATTTCAACAAATAAACGAAACTTTCTGTAGTTGCTTTCTTTATCAGAAAAGAACATTTGATACCATGGCATATTTTGTCCTCTGCACTAGAGAACAGCGTTGTTAATGTTGAGGGAAACTTCCTTAGTCATTATACAATCAGTACTTGTGTTTAATTCGTATGCCTAAGAACCATTCTGAGTTTTATGTTTTGTGTGTTTATGCTTAAAATACAAATGTAAATGGTTTTCTTTCTTGGTTTATTTTTAAACTTTCATCAAAACAAAAACCATGGGTATGCCCATGGTCCTGGGATGCCATAATTCTGTGCAACCTAAGAAATAAATCACTTCAAGTTAAATTGAAATTTTTCCTGAAGTCGTAATATTTCAAATTACATAGATGATTCTATAATTAACTGGATAATTTAAAAGCATCCACATCAGAACACACATTTCTACCTATATTCATATAAATGTGATTCTTTGTTTTCCAAATTTCTAAACGGAAGATTTTTTATTACTACCAACAACCTCCTCACTTAGACAAGGAAACTAGACAAATCTTGCTGTTTTAATTGGCTAAGCAAGTGTTAGTCAAATAGACATATTTAAAGATTCCTCTAATAAGCCTTTCCTTTAGAAAAAGCTGTAATCCTTGTGCTGTATTGATTAAAACATCATGATTTGTGGAATGTCTCAGTCTTGGCTCATGGAAAACTAATCAGATAAGTTTAGAAAAGGCAGTTAGGACCTGCTGGCATAAATGGGTAAAGAGACGTGTATAATGTAAACAATTGACCTGCATGTGTTTTCCTTTACCCAACTCATTCCTTACATGTAGGCTCATTTTTTTCAGTATTTGGGTTACTGGTTTAGCAGAAGCCAAGAAAATCAAGGAAAACAATACTTTTGTAATAATCAGGATGTTATCCAGCTGTATATTCTTTATTTTAAATACTGGTGTACAGTAGTCAATAAATAGCTTCACATTCCTTTATGTATATAAATATATAATATGAATATATATTATTCATATATATAAATAATATGAATATATATTATTTATATATATAAATAATATGAATATATATTATTTATATATATAAATAATATGAATATATATTATTTATATATATAAATATATAATATGAATATATATATTTATATATAATATGAATATTATATATTTATATATAAATATATATGAATATATATACAAATATATAATATGAATATATATTTATATACAAATATATAATATGAATATATATATTTATATATAAATATATAATATGAATATACATTATTTATATATAAATATATAATATGAATATACATTATTTATATATAAATATATAATATGAATATATATATTATTTATATATAAATATATAATATGAATATATATATTATATATAAATATATAATATGAATATATATATTATATATAAATATATATATGAATATATATATTTATATATAAATATAATATGAATATATATATTTTATATAAATATATAATATGAATATATATTTATATATAAATATATAATATGAATATATATTTATATATAAATATATAATATGAATATATATTTATATATAAATATATAATATGAATATACATTATTTATATATAAATATATAATATGAATATACATTATTTATATATAAATATATAATATGAATATATAGAATATATAAATATATAATATGAATATATATATTATATATAAATATATAATATGAATATATATTATTTTTATATAAATATATAATATGAATATATATTATTTATATATAAGTATATAATATGAATATATATTATTTATATATAAGTATATAATATGAATATATATTATTTATATATAAATATATAATATGAATATATATTATTTATATATAAATATATAATATGAATATATATATTATTTATATATAAATATATTATATATTTATATATAAATATATAATATGAATATATATATTATATATAAATATATTATATATTTATATATAAATATATTATATATTTATATATAAATATATAATATGAATATATATATTATTTATATAGAAATATATAATATGAATATATATATTATTTATACATAAATATATTATATATTTATATATAAATATATAATATGAATATATATTATTTATATATAAATATATAATATGAATGTATATTATTTATATATAAATATATAATATGAATACATATTTATATATTATAATTTTTACAATATATGTATATATAATAAATATATAATTTTTAATTGAACTGAATATACATATAAAAATTTTAGTTTTTATATGAACATATGAATACATATATTCAGTTCAATTAAAATTGTTTAAAATTTCTTGGATATAACACTAAAATCATATGTAAAAAATGTTAAAATTGAAAAAATTAGACCATCAAAATCTAATGTCTCAAAATTTAAAACATTTGTGCATTAGCTCATAAGCAACAGAATAAAAAAGCAACCCACATAGTATAATAAAATATTTGCAAATGATATATGTGATAAGGGATTAATATCCACAATATATTTTAAAACTCTTACAACTCAGTAGTAACAAAAAAAAAAACTGATTTAAAACTGGCCTAAAGGATGGATAGACATTTCTCCAAAGAAGAAGATAGACAAATGAGCAACCAGTACATGAAAATGTGCTTACCATCAGTAGGGATTTGCCTTAGGGATATGCAAATCAAGTCCATGAGAATGGCTAAGATAGATTTTTAAAAACACACACATACACACAAAAACAAGATAAAATAACAAGTGTTGGCAAAGATGTAAGTAAGTTGGAACCCTTGTGCATTGCTGGTGGGAATCTAAAATGGGGCAGCCACTGTGGAAAATGGAATGGTTGTTCACCAAAAAATTAAACATAAAATTACCATGTGATCTAGCAATACCATATCTGAACATAAACCCAAAAGAATTGAAAGCAGGGGTGGGCCAGAGATTTGTATACCAATGATCATAGAAGCATTATTCACAGTAACCAAAACGGAGAAGCAATCCTAGAGTCCATCAGTGGATGAATAAATAAATGAAATGTGGTATGTACAGACAATGAAATATTATTCAGCCTGAAAAAGGAAGACAGTTCTAACACATGCCTCAATATGGATGAAGTTTGAAGATATCACATGAAGTAAAATAAACGAGTAACAAAGGAAAAAAATGTTGCAGGATTCCATTTATTTGAGCTGCCTAGAATAGACAGATTCATGAAGACATAAAGTAGAACGATGATGGCCAGAAGCTGGGGGAAGCTGGCTTGGCAAGTTATTGTTTAATGTGTATGAAACTTCAGTTTGGGAAGATAAAAACGTTCTGGAGATGGGTAGTGGTGATGGTTGCACTACAGTGTGAATTTACTTAATGTCACTGAAACTGACACTTGAAAATTGTTAAAATGTTAAATTTTATGTTATATATGTTTTACTACCATTTTAGAAGTTTTAAAACTATTTAGTGTCTACAGAGTGTAAGCATCAGATCAAAGGAAATCTTCTGAAAGAATTAATTCAGAAAATATAACATGGTAACTATTGGGGCAAAATTTGTCATTGACCATGAAACCCATGAATATTATAGTTATAACAAAAGTAAAACGTTTTGCAGAACACATATGAAGAGTTGAAATTCACCCTCTCAGAGGCTATTCTTATCTTAAAATGCTATGCATTTCTTGCCATAAAAGCCACTACAACTGAGCAAAAGCTCTTCTAAGTGCATCATTCAAAAGACAAATTTCAGACAGAAAGGCATAGGAAATGCATAACCTAGTACAGGTATTTGTTTCTCTCAGAACTCCAAATTTTCAGAATGATTTTCTTGTGTCTTTTCTCTCTCCTGGGACTCAGCAGAGAGATGAGACAAAGTTAAAGCATAGTAATCAGCTACCTTTCTTCTCTAATATATTCTTACAAACCTCCTTAAACAAATGACTGAACTTGACATCGCTTATCTAAACAATGGAGAACTATATTTTTGACACAAACTTTATTGAAATACAAGATGCATTTTATAAATTAAATCCATTTTTGTGTACAGTTCAATAATTTTGTCAAATGCACACATAATTTAATCTCTAACATAAACAAGATAGAGAAGATTCCTATCACCTTGGAATGTTCTCTTATATCCCTGTTCAATCAATCTTAATACCCACCTGTGGCCCAGGCAACTCCCTATCTGCTTTCTATAACTATGCATTTTATTTTTCTAATGTTTTATGCAGATGAAATTGTACAACATGTGGTCTTTTTCTTCTGAGCCCCAAAATGTAAAGAACTTTCCGGAAGAAGAAGAAATGGGGCAGAAGAAGAAGTCAGAGAGATTTGAGCACCAGAAGGACTTGACATGCTATTGCTGGTTTGAAGATGAAGAGGGCAATATAACAGCAATGCAGCTCTGGCATTAAGTGCTGAGAGAGGCTCCCTGCTGACAGACAGCAAGGAAATAAAGACCACAGTCCCACTGCCACAAGAAACTGATTTCTGCAAACAACATGGAACAGCTTAGATGAAATTTCTCCCCAGATAATAACCCAGGTGAGCCAATACATTAATTTTGGCCATGTAAAACCTACAGAAGAGGAACCAGTGAAATTTACTCTGATTTCTGTCCTACAGAACTTAATGTGAATGGCTTTAAGCCACTACATTTATAGTATTTTGTTACAGCAGTGACAGAAAACTAGTGTAACATATAAACACAAAGAAGGGAAATAATGATATCTGTATAAATAATTAAAATATAAAAATTGACCAAGATGGCCAACTAGACACAGCCAGGAAGAGCATCTACCACTGTGAGAAAATACCTTCAATAAACCAGCACACTCTGTGCAGATCTTTGGAGGGAAGGCATTGAGAGCAGACAGAGGGAGGATGCAGACCCTAGGCTGAAGGGGGAGAAAAGCTGGGAACCCTGCATAGGGTTGCCAAGCACCAGGACTCATTCCCGGCCCCCAGTGGCTCCTAGGGAAGGGTTGAGTTAAATAGTCAAGGAATGGCCCACTGTTACCACAGAGCTCCAGAATTCTAGCTGCAAGAGACCCCTCAATCCTCATGGACATTTGAGCTGGCAGGGAAAGATGCTTAGAGAGGTGGCAGAGACAGAACTCAGGCTGTGTGAATTTGGACAGAGCAGAGCTTTCTTGCCTGTGAGATTGTGCCAGTCTGTTCTGAGTGACCCCAGTCTGTATGCCTCTCCCTAGTTCCTAGCTGGGTGTGCTCACTTGCAGCTCAGCCTCAGATGCCCAGTTAGGGTGCTTTCCAGCTGCTACTACCATAGCTCATTCACTGACTGATCCCCAACTAACTGCTGGAAAGGTTCATGCCCCCCTAGCATGAACTTGACCCAAGACATAGTCATCAGATTCTCCAAGGTCAACACAAAAGAAAAACTATTAAAGGATGCTAGAGAGAAGGGGCAGGTTATCTACAAACCTTATTAGGCTAACAGAAGACCTTTTAGCATAAACCCTGCAAGTCAGAAGAGATTGAGGATCTACATTCAGCATTCTTAAAGAAAATAAATTCCAACTATGAATTTCATTTCCAGCTAAGCTAAGCTTCAGAAGCAAAATATAAATAAAATTCTTTTCAGTGCAGGAAATGCTAGGGGAATTTGTTACCAATAGACCTACCTTACAAAAGGTGATTCAGGAAGTGCTAAACATGGAAATGAAAGGCCATTATCGGCCATCACAAAAACACACTTAAGTACACAGACCATTGACACTACAAAGCAACTACACAATCAGGTCTACATAATAATCAGCTAACAACACAATGACAGGATCAAATTTTCACATATCAATATTAACCTTGAAAATAAAGGTGCTAACTGCCCCTAATTAAAAGACACAAGGTAGCAAGCTGGATAAAGAAGCAAATCCAACTGTGTGCTGTCTTCAAGAGACCTATTTCACATGCAATGATGTCTACAGGCTCAAAGTAAAGGGATGGAGAAAAATCTACCAAACACACAGAAAACAAAAACAAACAAAAAAAGAAGGGAATGCCATTGTTATTAAAGACAAAACAGACTTTAAACCAACAATGATCCAAAAATACAAAAAAGAACATTATATAATGATAAAGGTTAAATTCAACAAGAAGACTTAACTATCCTAAATATATTTGCAGTCAACATTGAAGCACCAAGATTCATTAAAAGCATTTTAGAGACTTAAGAAGAAGCTTAGCTAATTACACAATAATAGTTGGACACTTCAACACCCCACTGACAGTATTAGACAAATCAAAAAGGAAGAATAATAACAAAGACATTCAGGATGTAAAGTTAACAGTTGACCAAATGGACCTAACAGACAGCTACAGCTATAGAACCTAACAGACAGCTACAAGAAAGATAAAATATACATTCTTCTGACCTGCAGATGGCAAATATTATAAATCAAACACATACTCAGACATAAAGCAATTGTTAACAAAATTAAAAAAAAAAAACAAATCATACCAAATACATGCTTGGACCACAGTGCAGTAAAAATAAAAATCTGTACTAGAAGATCTCTCAAAAACATAAAATTACATGGAAAGTAAGCAACCTGTTTCTGCATTACTTTTGAGTAAACAATAAAATTAAGGCTGAAATCAAAACATTATTTGAAACTAATAAGAAGAAAGATAGAACCTACCAGAATCTCTCGTACACAACTAAAGTGGTGCTAAAAGTGAAGTTTTTTGGTGCTAATTGCCTGTATCAAAAAGTTAGAAAGCTCTCAACAACCTAGCACCATACCTAGAGGAGCCAGAAAACCAAGAGCAAATCAGTCCTACAGCTGGCAGAAGAAAAGAAATAACCAAAATCAGAGCTGAACTGAACAAAATTCAGATACAAAAAATCATACAAAAGATCAACAAAATCAAAAGTTAGTTTTTTAAGATCGACAGACCACTAGCTAGATTAATTAAAAAAAAAGAGAGAGAAGATCCAAATGAATACAATCAGAAGTGACGAACGAGACATGATCACTACCCCCACAGAAATACAAAAATCCCTTAGACACTATTACAAATATTCCCATGCACACAAACAATAATCCTAAAAGAAATGGACAAACCCCTAGAAACATACAACCTCCCAAGTTTGACCCGGAAAACAATTGAAATCCTAAAAAGACAAATAATGAGTTCCCAAATTGCATCAGCAATTAAAAAAAAAAAAAAACTTACCAACAAGAAAACACTAGACCAGATAGATTCATAGCAGGTTCAAGTTCTACCAGATATGTAGAGGAGAGATGAGACCAATCCTATTGAAAATATTACAAAAAATTGAGGAGGAGGGATTCTTCCTCATTTTATGAGGCCAGCATCATCGTAATACCAAAACCTGGCAGAGACACAACTAAAAAAGAAAATTTCAAGCAAATATTCCTGATGCATGCAAACGTTGTCAACAAAATACTAGCAAATTGAATCCAGTTCCACACCAAAAAGCTAATCCACCATGATCAAATAGGCTTTACTCCTGGGATGGAAGCATCCTTTGTGTTCAACATATGCAAATTAATAAACGTGATTCATTACATAAATAAAACTAAAAGCAAAAACCACATGATATCTCAATAGAAGCAGAAAAGGCTTTGATAAAAGTCCATACCCCTTCTTGTTAAAAAAAAAAAAAGCCCTCAACAAACTAGGCATTGAAGGAATATACCTCAAAATAATAGGAGCCATCTATAACAAATTCATAGCAAACATCATATGGAACAGGCAAAAGCTGGCAGCATTCCCCTTGAGAAACAGAACAACACAAGGTAGCCCACTTTCCCCACTCCTATTTAACACAGTATTGGAAATCCCAACCAGAGAAATCAGACAAGATAAAAGAAATAAAAGGCATCCAAATAGGAAGAGAGGAAGTCAAACTCTCTCTCTTTCAAGATGATATGATTTCATACCTAGAAAACCCCATACTCTCGGCCCAAAGCCTCATAGATATGATAAATAACTGCAGTGAAGTTTCAAGGTACAAAATCAGTTTTCAAAAATCAGTAGCATTTCTACACACCAATAACATCCAAGCTGAGAGCCATATCAAGAATGCAATCCCATTCATAAGAGCCACAAAAATAACAAAATAACTAGAAATACAGCTAACCAGAGAGGTAAAAAATCTCTACAAGAATAATTACAAAACAGTGCTGAAAGCAGGCAGAGACAACACCATCAAATAGAAAACATTCCATGCTCGTGGATGAGAATAATCAATATTGTTAAAATGGCAATAATCCCCAAAGAGATCCTATCAAACTACCAAATACATTTTTCACAAAACTAGAAAAAAACTATCTTAAAATTCATTTGAAACCAAAAAAGCCCAAATAGCCAAAGAATTCCTAAGTAAAAAGAACAAAGCTGGAGGCATCACAGTACCCAAATTCAAACTACACAAGGCTACCGTAACAAAGACAGCATGGTACTGGTGCAAAACAGACACACAGACCAATGTAACAGGTTAGAGAGCCCAGAAAAAAAGCTGCCCACCTACATCCATCTGATCTTCAATGGCGAGTGAGCATTACTGCCTGAGCTCCACCTCATGTAAGATCAGTGGCAGCATTAGATTCTCATTGGAGCTCGGACCCTATTGTGAACTGTACATGCATGGTATCTAAATTGTGTGCTCCTTATGAGACTCTAATTCCTAATGATCTGAGGTGGAACAGTTTTATCCTGAAACCAACCCTACCCCCTATAAACCATGGAAAAATTGTCTTCCATGAAAGCAGCCCCTGGTGCCAAATAAGTTGAGGACCACCAACCTACAGAATGAGAGAATATATTTGCAAACTATGCATCAGACAAAGTTCTAATATTCAGAATTTATAAGGAATTTAAACAACATAGCAAGCAAAAACCAAAAAATCCCATTTAAAAAATGGGCGAAGACATGAAGTGTTACTTCAAAGGAAGACATGCATGTGGCCAACAATCATATGAAAAAATGCTCAACATCATTCATCATTAAAGGAATGCAAATAAAAACCACACCACACCAGTCAGAATGGCTATTACTAAAAATAAAAATAACAGAAGGTGGCAAGGTTGCAGAAAAAAGGGGACATGTCTATGCTGCTAGTCGAAATGTAAATTAGTTCAGCCCCTGTGGAAAGCATTGTGGCAGTTTCTCAAAGAACTTAAAGCAGAACTACCATCCAACTAAGCAATCCTATTATTGGGTATATACCTCCCAAGACATAAATTATTTTACCATTAATTTGCTTAGGATAATGGCCTCCTAAGACACATGCATGTGTATGTTCATCATAGCACTACTCACAATAGCAAAGACATAGAATCAACTTAGACGCCCATCAATTGTGAAGTGGATTAAAAAAATGTGGTACATATACACCATGGAATACTAACCAACAATAAAAAAGAACAAAATCATCTCCTTTGCAGCATCATGGATGGAACTGGAGGCCATTAACCTAAGCAAATTAATGCAAGAACCAAAAACCAAATACTGCATGTTCTTACTTATAAGTGGGAGCTAAACACTGAGTACACATGGACATGAGGAAGGGAACAATAGACATCAGGGCCTACTTGAAGGTGGAGGATGGTAGGAGGGTAAGGATCTAAAAACTACAAATTGAGTACTATACTCATTACCTAGGTGACAAAAAAAATCTGTATACAAAACCCCCGTGACATGAAATTTACCATGTAGCAAACCTGCACATGTACCCCCGAACCTAAAAGTTGGGGAAAAAAATAGAAAAATTTGAAAATCGTGATAATGATGGGTAAATCAGGAACAATCCTCCTTAAAAACACTCATGAGAGAGAAACATTTATGGTAAAACTGATTAAGAAAACAAGAAACCTAAATTATTTTAGAGGGATAACAATGGGAAAGAGTTTCCATACTGGATATCTAAATTTTTTCAATATTATTTATTTAAAGTAGGATGATTTTGGTGTAAGAACAGAAGAGAGACTGTAAATAAGTCCACACATATCAAGTATCTTGATTTATGACAAAAAACAAAATCTCTGCAAATCAACAAGGAAAGAATGTTCTTTACAAAAGAATGGTGTGTGGTGCTCAGTCAATTAAATATCCATTAAAAAATCCTGTGTCCATTACCTCAAATCATACCTAAAAATTAATTTGAGATGAATTTTGAACTAAATGTAAAGGTAAAACGATTAGGAGCTAGAAGAAAGCCTAGTGCAACAAAACACACTCATGACCTTGAGATAGCAACATTTAAAACAAAAAACAAACAACAGCAACAAAAAAACACGGGTAGTATCAACCATAAAGGGAAAACAGGCTGGGCGCGGTGGCTCACACCTGTGATCCCAGCACTTTGGGAGGCCGAGGCGGGCGGATCACGAGGTCAGGAGATCAAGACCATCCTGGCTAACGTGGTGAAACCCCGTCCCTACTAAAAATACAAAAATTAACTGGGCGTGGTGGTGGGTGCCTGTAGTCCCAGCTACTCGGGAGTCTGACGCAGGAGAATGGCGTGAACCCAGGAGGCAGAGCTTGCAGTGAGCCCAGATTGCGCCACTGCACTCCAGCCTGGGTGACAGAGTGAGACTCTGTCTCCAAAAAAAAAAAAGGAAAAGAAAAAAAGGAAAACAAAAATTAATTTCTGCTTATCAAATGATAATAATAAGAAAGTGAGAAGGAAAGTCACCGACTTGCAGTAAATGCACTTGAATAAAATATATTTATAAAATTATCCAATATGCAAGTGAAAATATGTGCAACCTCATTAGGCCTCAGGAAATGCAAAGTAAAACCAGAAGGGGATCGTCATATCAGAACAACTATAATTAAAAGACTAGTAATTTCCAGTGTATGCCAAGAATGTAGACATCTAGAAGTGTCATATTTCTGGAAGGATTTTAAATAGGTTCAGCCACTTAAAAAGTTAGCAGTAGCTAAAAAGTCAAACCTTCATATAACTTATGATCTTTATAATGCATCAATTATGCTCTTGAGATACTCAAGATTAATGAGTTAATGTGTCCATTAAAAGATTCTACCAGCCTTATTCATAATAATTAAAAACTGAAAATCAACCAAGTATTCATCAAAATTAATTAGAAGAAATGAGATACAATATTATATAACACTTACAAAGAATTTTGTTTTTCTTGAGACAGAATCTCGCTTTGTTGCTCAGATTGGAGTGCAGTGGTGTGATCTCAGCTCACTGCAACGTCTGCCTCTCAAGTTCAAACGATTCTCCTGCCTCAGCCTCCTGAGTGGCTGGGATTACAGGTGCCCACACCATGGCTGGCTAATTTTTGTATTTTTAGTAGAGACAGGATTTAGCCATTTTGGCCAGGCTGGTCTTGAACTCCTGATCTCAGGTGATCCACCCACCTCAGCCTCCCAAAGTGCTGGGATTACAGGTGTGACCCACCACGCCCAGCCAGAATTTTTTAAAGGAACTATTTTTACATGCAACATGTATCAATAATCTCAGATAAAATGTTGAATGAAAGAAATTAGACAAAATTATTTATTTTTTGTGTTTCTGTTTATATGAAGTTCAAGAATAACCAAAACAAACCTACGGTATTAGAAGTCCAAATAACAGTTACACTGGTGTGTAGAGGGATAGTATTGACTGTGAGAGGAATAAGGAAGTTTTCTGGGGAGCCGAAATATTTTATACCTTTATCTGTGTGATATTTAAAAGAGTGTACCCAGATCTAAAAATTCTTCAAAGCATACACCTATGACTGGTGTATTGATATACATCATTGATTTAAATCATTCTTCAATAAAAAGTAAAAAATACTGTTAGAAATAAAAATCAACATAATAAAAGACAGTTGTCATATGAAATTACTATGAACCACCTTTCAAAAATACCTTTGGAAAAAAGAATTGCTTCCTAGGAAGATATACCTTTTCAAAATTATATAAAGAGGGTTAAATACCTATACGTGAAAATGAAAATATTAAAACATTTATAAGAAAATATATGAAAGCAATGTTATGACATCAATGCAGATAATATTATTCTTATTAATAAGATAATAGATAATAATCTTATTAATGTAATCAATTAGTGAAAGAAATGAGGTTTAAGGATTGAAAGCTAAAAAAACAAAACAGTGATTATTCATTCTTATAACAGAAAATTCAAAAGAATCAACAAAAAAATAGAGATTCATGAGACATTTCAGCAGTATCTTTAGCTATAGAATCTATGTACAAAATGTAATAAAATTTCATATATCAGGAACAACAAATTAGATAATATAATTTTTAAAATCCTATTCTATAGATCTAAGTTGGTATAACATATCTAGAAATAATCCTATCAAATGTCTATTTGGAGATAACAATTTTCCCTAAATTAAGTGACATATTTAATGTAGTTCCAAAAAAATCTCAGCAGGGTTTTTAACAATTCTTACCAAGCTATCTAAAAGGCTTATGAAGGAATACAAGAGTAGCCAAGACAATATTAAAAAGTAGTAAGCAACCAAAACTTGTCCATCAGAGTTCAAAATGTATTGACTAATTAAAACAATGTGGTTTCAAAGTAGTGTTAGTCAAATACATATATATTTTTTAATATATATAAAATACATATTTTATATATATACATATAACATATATATTTGCTACAAAATAGACTAGCAAAAGACAAAAAATAATGCGGATGTGATACAAACAGACCTCTGAATATATTGAAAGGTGGCCTTGGCAGAAAAAGTATTATGCATCAGCAAAGAAAAGATGCCTCTTCCTAAAAATGATGCTAGGACAACTGGCTCTCCACATGGAGAATGATAAATTAGATGCCTACCTCTTACCATGCCTGAAATAAATTCCAGATGGGTTAAATACCTATATGTGAAAATGAAAATATTGAAACATTTATAAGAAAATATATGAAAGCAACGTTATGACATCAATGCAGATAATTTTTTTAAAGGAGACAAACAAAATTACCCCATAGAGTTAAAAGTAAAACATAGTCTGAGAAAGATATATTTACAATGCTTATAACTAATACAATCCTGGTAGCCATTCTCCTTCTAGAAACACTTGCAACATCTACACAAGGGCTGAAACAGATGTTAGGTGTAGAATTGTTTGAAATAGTAAAAAAAGTGAAATTTAGAAAAAACACTCATGCATATGTATATGTATGCATATATGTACACATTTATACATATATGTATCAATATATACATATGTAAGAATATGTATGTATATACATACTCTTCTTCAAGTATATAGGAGATATATACATATTTATATATTCATATAGATATATAGATATGCATAACATATATAAAAGGTATATGTATATATGTGTGTGCATATATCTCATTTCATTTCAGATCATGAGTACTGTAAAAGTACTATATAATAACATATATAATATGTAATAACATGTAACATATATAATATATATCATATATTATATATGAATAGATACGTGTGTATATATTATATCATTATATGAATAGATATATGTAATATATGTGTGTGGATAGCTATATGTACAATAAATATATAGATATATTGCCACAAATTTGTCTATCTTGCTAGCTAGCTAACTATATTTGTTGTAAAACCATAAAATCAATGCTATGTGAATTAAGTAATCTGATTTCTACAATAATCATGACCTGAAATAATAGCGAATACATAATAAAAGGATAAAGGAACTGTGGAGAGAAAAAAAGTAGATTTCAAATGTATGTATAGCATTCCACTTTCACAAAAGTAGAAAAATTGGCAAAATTTTGCAAAAAAGAAGTAAAATTATGTATTAATATTTCATAAGACTTAGGCTGGGCACAGTGGCTCTCGCCTATAATCCCAGCACTTTGGGAGGCCAAGGCGGGTGGATCAAAGGTCAGGAGTTTGATACCAGCCTGACCAACATGGTGAAACCCTGTCTCTACTAAAAAAATACAAAAATTAGCAAGGACTGGTGGCCTGCACCTGTAGTCCTAGCTACTCGGGAGGTTGAAGCAGGAGAATCGCTTGAATCCGGGAGGCAGAGGTTGCAGTGAGCTGACATCATGCCATTGCACCCCGGCCTGGGCAACAGAATGAGACTCTGTCTCAAAAAAAAAAAATGGTAAGACTTAGTGGAACATACATAGATTCAGTTATATTCTATCTATATTGTATGATCATCATGATGATTAATTTCCAAAGTGTCAAGATAAAAACACTTTGAGGTGCATGTTGCATATTATAATTAAGGACTCTTACCTATTAACTTGACAGTTTTCCTAGCAACTTTATTTGGAAGGACTAAAAATTACATATAAAATATTATTTATATTCTCAATCTACACTGCATTATTATAAATAATAAATAGCATGGCAATAAGTATAGATATTATAAGACAGAAGGAACAGACATATTTAAAAGCAATTTATTTGTAACAGAATTAGAGATGTCCAATGGACCTCAAAAATCATAGAATTTGAATAGAGCAAGCAAGTGCACTCCAAGAAAAAAAATTTAAAAACGAGGTAAGTCATCAAAGTAGATATTGCTAGGATCTATTGTAGGGTGAATTAGGAGCTTGATCTAAATGAAGCACATTCTATATTCTGGGGCAAAGCGAGTGGTAACCAGGAATTTCAAAGACAGTATTAGTTTACGACGTACCTTGAAAGCTTGTCAGAGACATTAGTAGTTGAGAGATATACATGTTTCCTACATGAAACAAATTTAATCTTTATAATTAGATTTAATTTTGTTGGTCCCACAATTAGTATGCCATGCTATCTCCTAGGGAGAGTGAATTCTGGTATTAACTTATTCTGCAGCTGCTTCATCTCTAGATGTTGACTGGTCCAGAATATGGGTGATGACTCTACCCTTTAATGGTATAAATCCTGCCTAACTTTTCACTCCCCAAACCTCTCCAAGATCAATTTAGTCTGTATCTCATGGAAGTTTAATAAATTTCCTGAGTAAAGGAGCTGGAGATTATTCCCAAACAGTAGAATGTGAATTAGCTGGGGAAGTGAGATTACAGAGTACACTTTATTCTCCTGGTCTTTCCTTTATTCCTGGGCTTTTATGAGTTTATATCTATATAGACACTCTCAAGGCCTTCACTAATTCCCTCACTCTTTTCCCTTCTTTCTGTATTGCATTAGAAATTAATATGTTCTTTTTATATATAACTTTTACACTATACTTTCCAAAGAAAATCTAGGTATTTTGTCTCTGAAGCTAGATTGCCTGGGTTGGAATAGAAGTTCTGTTACTTACTAGCCATACAACCTCAGGCAATTTATTATATTCCTCAATTGTCAGTTTGCTCATTGTAATAAAAGAGGTTTTTTTCTGAACATTAAGTAAACTAAAAGGGTTTTTCTGAACATTAACTAAGACCACCTGTAACCCAATTATAAAATGGCCTAGCACATAGTAAGTGCCCAGAATAGTTAACTGCTGTTTCACATCATTTCTTGTAACTTCTGACTGATATCCTCTCTGGGGAATACCCCCTAGGGAAGGGGTCTCTAACTGCTGGGCCACAGACCAGTGCTGGAACCAGGCTGCACGGCAGGAGGTGAGCAGCAGGCGGGTGAGTGAGCAAAGCTTCATCTGTATTTAGAGCTGCTCCCTATTGCTGGCATTACTGCCTGAGCATCGCCTCCTGTCAGAGCAGCAGCAGCATTAGATTCTCATAGGAGGGTGAACCCTACTGGGAACTGCTCATGCAAGGGATTTAGGCTGCATGCCTTCCTTATGAGAATCTAATGCCTGATGATCTGTTACTATCTCCCATTACCCCCAGATGTGACCGTCTAGTTACAGGAAAACAAGCTCAGGGCTCCCACTGATTCTACCTTATAGTGAGTTGTATAATTATTTTATTATATATTACAATGTAATAATAATAGAAATAAAGTGCACAATAAATGTAACACACTTGAATCATCCCAAAACCATCCCCCCCACAACCCGCCCCAGTCTGTGGTAAAATTGTCCTCCAACAAACCGGTCCCTGGTGCCAAAAAGTATGGGGAACACTGTTCTAGGGAATATATTCAGTCTATGTGCTGCTCCAGTGGTAGATTCCACTCTTCTCTAGAAGTGAGTATTGCAATTAACCAAGCTCTAATTGGTTTAGGGATGGGCATATGGTACAATTAGGGGCAATGAAAGAAAACAGGATTTGGGGGCAGGTGGGCAGGGGGTGCTAGAAAAGAGGCAGGTGCTTATTTTTTACTATTACCGGTTTGTGACAATATAAATTGAAAGCTACTGATATTTTATGACAACAAGGTTAAAACTAAGGCCACATTTGACTATGTTACATATTTTTGTAGTTGCATTTTTTGTCACTTGCAACACATATTCTAAATTATATACCTGGCCTAATAGGCTAAGAAGATAGTTGCAGTCCTATACTTAGTTAAATCACAAAATCTTTTCTCCTTCACATTTAAAGGAAATGTTTGGGGAAGAAATTGAGTAGATGTCCCCGTCTTAACCCTTCATATATCTTATTCATCAAAAGTAGTACTAATGAAAATAAATGTTCTTGGGAATTTACATGCTCTTGCTTAATCTTTGTTAGTGATAATAAGTAAGGCTTTTTACTAAAGAATATTCTAGCTACATCAAAGAATAAATCTAACCCTAAACAAGAAATGCGTCATTTTCTTACCAGTGATTGATATATTACACATCATTCTTGGTTAAGACTGTAAACAAGATTTTATATCTCATTGTGGTTAATGAGACAATGATACTTTTATATGAGGTATTTTGTACCATAGCCATGAATAACAAAGCACTGAGATACTATTTAATCTTTAAGTTTCATTTTAGAAAATAAGAGAAAGGGAAATATTTTTAGTACCAGGAACCAGGAGGCAAAGAAATGTCTGTGGTAAATCTATCCAAATAATGAGAATCAATACATTCTGCAATATCTGATTCAACATATCAATACTTGCAGAAGAGATTCAAAAGGGAGGTGATCTTAAATATGCGTCTGGCTACTCCTTGGTGAACAGATTGCCTTCCTTAATGCTTAAAGTTTAGAAACATTTTAAGAAAACACTTCTGATAGTACTTAAAAGATTCATTTTCATGCAGTGCACTTCAGATTTTCAAAAAAAGAATTAAAAATCATTACTTTTTTGCTTTATCATCACCTCAGCATGTTTCATATGTCCTTTCAAAGAGAAATATTTTGACTTTGTTTTTAATTTTGGCATATGTAGTAGAGAAAATATGAAGAATTGAAAAGAAGAGTCCCATTCATCTTCCCTTTTTAATTACAACAGTTCATTCTTATTTACTTACGCAACCTAATCTGAATCTTAAACTAATTTTTAGGTACAGTGAACCTAAATCTTGCAGATAAATACAAAATTATGAAATAATTTTAAGTTAAATTTGATTTTAGAACAAATACCTATCAATTTCTTAAATAATCATTTTGTTCTTTATTTAAATTTTGTGGTAGGAGACATTAGAAAGCCCTTTGCTTCTTGTGTTGCACAAACTGAAAAGGCAGTCTAAATTTAGAAAGCATTACGTAATTAATTTTAGGAATCCTAATAATGAAATGTAAATAATGATTTTATTTTATTTTATTTTTTATTATTTTACTTTAAGTTCTGGGATACGTGTGCAGGATGCGCAGATTTGTTACATAGGTATACATGTGCCATGGTGGTTTTCTGCACCTATCAACCTGTCATCTGGGTTTTAAGACCCACATTCATTAGGTATTTGTCCTAATGCTCTCATTCCCTTTGCCCCAAAAATAATGATTTTAAATAACAAAAATATGTAGTGTCATCATCCCCAAAGCATTGATTACACTGCTGATTTTTCATGACATAACATGAATCCTTGACAATAATGAAATGTATTATTATAATGACATCTTTTATATTGTGAGTTCCCAAATGATAGGAAATAAAATAACTACCTTTAGAATTCTTCTGCAGTCTGAAGTAAAAATGGCATTTGGCCATTATCATAAATAAACAAGGAAGGCTATACAAAATATATATCACAGGTGATTAGAAACACCTTTCCCAATTTAAAAGAACTATGGTTATTTTAATTTAATATACCTTTTTAAAAGTGCACTGTTGATTGAATGTTGCCAAATGAATGTGATAGTGAGGCCATATCACAAGCAAAATTTATTTCCAGCTCTCCGAAAGTTATATCTTGCACTTTGTAGTCAATCTCTTCCCAAGCCCTCTGGAAATCACTAATCTGATTTCTGCCTCTATGGTTTTGTCTTTTACAGAATGTCATATAAATGCCATAATAAAACACGTAGACTTATAAATCTGGCTTCTGCCTCTTAGCAAAAGGCTTTAGTGATTCATACATATTGTTATATCAGTAGTTCATTTCCTTTGAAACTGAGCATCATTTCATTGTGTAGAGGTACTACACTTTGTTTAGCCATTTACATGTTGATGGACATTTGAGTTGTTTCTAGTTTGGGATAATTATGAATAAAATAGTCATAATTATTTGTGTACACGTCTTTATGTAGACATATCTTTTCATTTTTCTTGGGTAAATACCTACAAGTGAAATTGTTGGTTCCTATGCTCAGTGTACAATTATCTTCATAAAAAAAGTCAACATGGTTTCCAAAGTGCTGTACCATACAGCATTCCCAAAACAAGGTAAGAGAGATGCAGTTGCTCTGCACCATCACCAGGATTTGGAATTGCCAGTATTTCTAAATTTAAGCATCTTAGCAGGTGTGTAGAGGTATCTCATTATGTTTAATTTGCATTTCCTTTCTAATGATGCTCAGCATCTTTCCATGAGTTTATTCGCTATCTACACATACTCTTTTGTTCACATCTTTAGCCCTATAATTTAGTGGGATGTTTTTCTTCTTATTGAGTTGTAAGAGCTCTTCCTGTAGTCTGGTTTACAAGTCCTTTACAGATAGATGTTTTGCAAGTATTTTCTGTCAATATATGGCTTATGGTTTTTTATAGTGCCTTTCAAAGGTAGACATTTAGTTTCGATGAAGTTTAATTTATTAATTTCCCCCTTTATGTTTTTGTGCTTTTTGTTGTTCTAATAAACATTTGCCTAACTCAAGATGCAATAATTTTTCTTTTATGTCTTCACGAAAATTGTTTCACTTTTGTCTCATTGCAGGTCTATTTCATTCAAGTAAATTTTGTATATAGCGTGAATTAAGAGTAAAGATTCTTTTTTATATGAATTTCAATTATTACAGACATTGTTGTTCAAAAGACAATCCTTTCCACTTTGAATTATTTTGGCACATTTTCAAAAATTAATAAATTGATATGTGGGTTAACTTCTGGACTCTGTATCCTTTTGTCGATGTTTTTGTCCCTTTTCCTCCAAAACAATACTGCCTTGAATTTTCTTAGCTTTTATTTTCCTGAAAATGTCTTCATTTGTAGGAAATCTTAAAATCCAATAGTCCATGTCCTACAGTTTATTTCTTTTTTTTCAGAAGTGTTTTGATTTTTGTCCACATAAATTGTATAATTAAGTGGTCAATTTCTACCAAAAAAAAAATGGGATTTTGGTTGGGATTGTGTTGATTCTATAAATTATTGTGAAGAAAACTTGATATCTTAAAATATTTTTTTCTTTCAATCCCCAAATGTGGTATAGGTCTCCATTTACTTAGGTTTTTAAATAATATCTCTTCACAATGTTTGTAGTTCTTAATCTAGAAATTCTTAATCTTTCATATTTTTATGCTATTATAAGAGATATAATTTAATTTCAATTTTTAGTTTCTCATTCTATATTTCCAATAGTCTAATTTCTTCATTTCCAAGTATGATGTCCCCAAGTAGATGGTGGGTGACAGATGGAAGTCCATGCACAAAACGAGGGGCTTTAGCTAAGGAAGGTCATAGAAAATTTATTTATTAAAAACAGAATTAAAAAGAATACATGAAGCCCATAATCATTGGCAATAATCTCTTATAAATTCACTTTAACAATAAACTCAAGATGGAAAATATTACAGTTTACATGTTGGTCTTGGTTGACAAAAATGGTCAGCAGTGGATAGTTATTAAGCAAAAGAAAAAAAAGCGAGCATTATCTCTCAATCAAACACCAGGCTACCACTTAATAATTCAAGTAGATTTAACATCTGAATAATATCACATTTGTATTGTGGCATTTTAACAGTTAATATTATTTTTTTGAAGAAAGGGCTTTATATGTTGAGAAATAAAAAATGAAACACTGGAACATAAAATTAATGTACAAATTATGTAATCATCTATCAGTACTTTGATATAAAATTCTCATTAATTTAGGGGGAAAATAAGGTTGAGTTGAATAAACATCTTAAACAACATGTAATAGTTACAAAAATAATGCATCATAAAATAGGATTGAGTTCAGTAGACATGTGGTACCATATATTAGTATCATTGATTACATATTTGATCCCACAATGTGTAATTTATTTGTCTATTTAAATACACATTTTCAGATAACCTTGTATTTCTTATATCTGAGAGTATTAAGGTTTTCTTTTCCAGCCCATATTATCCATCTGCTGTTTCTATGATTCCACATTATTTTCAATTAACTAGGAAATTAACTAGGTAATTCTGAAAACTAAGCTATTATTATATTTATAACTATACTTTTAGTTGAGGCAATGAGATGCTAAAATTTATAAATCTGAATATCACACAAGAAACAGGAGAACAAATTTTGAAAGAAAGTCTTACCAGAATTCCTCATAAATTAAATTCATGAAAAAACATGAAGGTGTTTAGCCTTAACAATTTTTGTTAATATTTTCTAGAAGAATTAACATCTATTTTATTATTAAAATGCTATTACTCTTAAAATGTTAATATTTTATTAATATAATCTTCAGTTTAATTTTATTTCTTTTTTAGTAATATGATGTTTAATGAGAAAGAAACATTTACTTTCCTGTTTTAAGAAATATGTTTTCATGTTAATTAGAATGTCATTTTATTAAAAAAAATATGCCCTTCATCCTAAAGGGCATTATTCCCCTATGGCTCCTACACATAATTACATAGTATGCATTTCTAAAAAAGAATAAGAAATATCTCAATATACTGCTGTGAAATGATCTTGTGTATATATTATTAAATAAACAATCAAGAAGGGAAAAGGTTTGCATATTGTGCTATGATTTTCTCCGTAAAAGTAGAGAATAAGCATAAGCCTTCATATTTGCTTATATGTTTTAGAAAATGAAAACAAAAACCAGATCTCTATTCAGTGATCCTCTGTTAGGAAAGGAAAGGATTAAGATTAAGGGGACAGTGACAGAAGCTAAATTTCTCCAAATATAGTTTGTCTTGAAGATTTACTTTTTAACTATGTAACAATATTTTACATAATTATAAAATACTTAAAACAACCTCTAAAGAGTCTAAAGTAAAATAAAATCTACATACTCTGTTAGATGCATAATTAGCACCTCACAGAAACCACTTGAACTGAATTTAAAATACAATAATGTATTTTTCCTGTATGTCTCTAATAGGATATATCTCAAGGAAAAAAAAATTATAAAAAATTTAAACTTGTTTCAGTAATTACATTGTTGGTAGACTATTTTTGACATGGAAGAAAAGATAAACTGACTAAGATATGTGATATTAAGTAAAAGTCCTGTATCCTTAACACAAATTCAAACAGTGTAAATTATGAATTTTTTTCTTAAAATACGTATGTATGCATATGCATTTGTGTGTGTACATGCAAACATATAAACAGATCTCTAGCTCTATGAACATGCAAACATACACAGATTTCCAGCTCTATCCAACTGAGATGACTTAGAAACAAAGACCAATCTTATGGAATGAAGATCTCTAAGTCTAAACTTACAGATTCAAACTACATATCGAAACAAACAGAAAACATGCACGTTTTCCATTAAAAGAAACCAAAATCAATGATTCCATGTCTGGGGAAAGAAACAAAGAAGGTGATCCTGAAAGATCTTGGTATACCAGGATGTAAGGAAGCTTCAAAGACTACTGAAAACACATGTGGTAACCTACATCCAAAATCGCCACCATTGACCCTCATCTTCTGGTATTTATCGGGTTGTGTAGTTGCCTCTATGATATAGTGTGAAGACCTATGTAAATAATAAAATATTTGGAATTAACTGTGTGTGTCCTATTACTAAGTCATTAGAGTCATTCCTCCTTGTGCTTTGCTCTTACTGAAATGGCTTGCTCTGGGGAAAGCCATCTGCGATGTCATCAGAACACTAAAACAGCCTCTGGAGAGGTCTGTGTGTGAGGAAGAGAGGCCTCCTGGTAACATGAAGCACAAGCTTGCCAACCGTGTGAGTGAAACAACTCAGAAGTGCCTCCTCAATTTCTTTCAAGCCTTCAGATGACTGTTTCTCAGACAGACATCTTTAAAATTTCGTTAAGAGACCTTGATACAAGCTAATGAGCAATACTTAGTCACGAAGGGAAATGATATTTTCTTTAACTCACCGGTTCTGTCTGAAACATATTTATATAATAACTTTGTAAGACTTCAGTTTCCAGGAAGACAGACTTTAAATATTTCTCCTTACTTTTTCTACTAAGTACAGCTAAAAACCATGCACATGATATATTAAACAGAAATAAGAAGGCTGTGAAAGATAAAGAGAAGAAGGTATATATTAAAGATAACTTGGGATCTAAAGAATAACATAGTGGTGACCTTACTTAGATTTTGTTTTTTTGTTTTTTTGAGATGGAATTTTACTCTTGTTGCCCAGGCTGGAGTGCAGTGTCTCTTGGGTTCTAGCAATTCTCCTGCCTCAGCCTCCCGAGTAGCTGAGATTATAGATGCCACACTGGCTAATTTTTGTATTTTTAATAGAGACAAAGTTTCACCATGTCGGCCAGGCCAGGCTCAAGCTCCTGACCTTAAGTGATTCACCTGCTGGGCTTACAGATGCGTACCACCAAACCTAGCTAATTTTTGTATTTTTAATAGAGACGAGGTTTCACCATGTCGGCCAGGCTAGACTTGAACTCCTGACGTTAAGTGATTCACCCGCCTCAGCCTCCCTTTCACTCCTGAAATTACAGGCGTGATCCACCACTCCTGGCCCTTACTTGGTTTTGATTTTGTTTCTTATGTATCAGACATGGAAATGACAAAGCTGGCAACACAGAGATGTCAATGAGTAAAGGAAAAACAAACAAAAAGCCCACAAAACCCTTCTCTCTCTAGACAAAATAACAGAAAAGGAGTGGCCTCACAAGATAGAAAACTTTTAGGCAATAACTGTATAACCGCTCCACTCTTCATAGCTTCAAAAAACAACAACACAAAATCATCAAGATGAAGCCTTTAATTTCTCACATGTAGCAAATAATTTTTTGATAAATCTATAATTTATATTATTCTTTATTCTGGATTAATATAGATACCTTAGTGAATGGATTCTATAGAATTCATTTAGATAATCCTAGAAAACAAATTAACATGTAAGTTGCCTCTTTTTCATTATGTTTTAAAAAATAATTTCAGGGACTAGAGAATGGCATGTGGCTCATGAAGTTGTAAGCAAGGTCATCCAGCATAGGAATTAAACACTGACTCCACTCACCCTTTCCCAATATATGACATTAACAAGCTATTACCTGTCTAATCTTCCTTTCCATATCTGTAAAAGGAAAAATAAAAAAATCTTTGCAGGATTTTTGCAATAATTAGCAATAATGTCATATATGGTATCTGACACAGAATAGTAACTGTATTATTTATGGTAAATCTATCACAAAGTTGGCACCTTACAGATGATTTCACTAACACAGTGGATGATAATTTTCCCTGTGCATGTCATTTCTAAGCAATTTTGAAGAATCTTTTAGAGGACAGGAAATCCACAATGCTGAATATTTTAGGCTAGACGGGAAGGGAAACTGCCACTTTATATCAGTTCCACCATCTATTCATTATCTAGCTAGAAATGTAAAAGTGTTCTTTCTTCATGTGAACGCATTTTCAGCACCCTGGCAATCACAAGGTTGAAACAATTCTCCTACTTACATATCTCTTAAATCCCTCACTTCTTATCCCACTAGCTTCCCTCTCACTAAGGAACTGGTCATCCCTTAGCTGAACACCCAACAGCTGCCTCACTGACTCTTAGTATCTGAGTCCTTCTAATCATCACTTCTGTCCTGGAGATTCATCAAACAAGTTGCATTATATCATGTACTTCTTAAAAATTATTCAGTGGTTCCCATTACCTGAAAGACACATTTTCATGTTTACTACATGAGATGCAGAGTCTTTACCATCTGGCTCCCTTTCCTACCACCCTCATCCCCAAATCTAGGCTACAGAAATATTGAATTATTTGCAGCTTCCAAAGCACAATTCACATTTGCAGCACCATCTTTGCATTTGTTGTTCATTGGTCTGATGTCATCACTTGACTTATTTACCAGAGGAATCTTATTCTTTTTCTCAAGTCTTAGATTAATGTCGCATCTTCTGTGACGTTCTGTGTGGCTTGTATAAATCAACCTAATATCTTCTTCCAACGCTTTTTTCCACTTTACCTTGTATGTTATGCACATTATTATTAATGCCTTTATAATTTTATATTTTCATGTCTATCTTTCTACTAAACTTTATAGTTCTTAGTGGTGGGAACTAATTATTGCCATCACTGTGTACCCTGGCTCTTGTATAATTGTAGCTCAATAATTATTTGTTTAATACATGAGTGCATGAGGATCCTGGTCTACCACTCATATGCTAATTGGATACACTAATGGGTAGCTCATTCCTAACCAACCCATTTCAATAGTTTTCAACTTGCAGGGATCAGAGGGTCAAAGTTTCATATACCACCTAGTTTTCTTATAAGCAGATACTACCCTGCTCCTACCTCATTAGTATGAAGTACTCACAGAGTTCAGGTGAAAGGGGAATCATGGTCACAGTTATTGACTAAATCATATTATTGTTCAAGAGAAACAACAATATTATCTAATGTTTATCATTTAACATTACCTAATATATGTAATTTTAAATATTTAATATTACCTACTGCCCTGTAGAAACTTTGCATAGGTTAACTCATTTAATCTTTAGATGCTATATTTATCTTCATTTTATAGATGAAGAAATTGAGACAGAGAGGTTACAGAGCTTGCCCAAGGTTATACAGAGAGCAAGTGAAGGATCAGGGATTCATCCCAGAGTGTGTAGCTTTAGAGATCTGTGTTCTCAACCACTACATTATATCACTTTATAATTGACTGTAGTGTCACAAGATTTTGACTCAGCCTGTTTCTAGGCTTATCTGTGTAAAGTTGGTGAGTCCGCCAGGAGTTGTTTGCAAGAGAGATTTTTTTTAAGCCGAAAAAAAAAAAAAATAGGAGAAAGATTTCTGTACAGCTGCCTGGGAGAGTTAGAAAAGACTGCAGAAGATAGCATCCTGCCTATCTTGGGTAATAGTTTCCCAGCAGGGGCAATGAACTTTTGCCTGAGGCTTATAGAAAGAGGAACTCTAGGCTGAAAATAAAAAGTTGTTTGCACAAGAGAATCTTAGAGGCATAAGGCATAAATGGCTCTCAAGAATCCAGATGACAAATCAGGAGGAAGTTAACATTTATCTCACTTTTGCACAGAGCATAGTAGGAATTCGGCTTATCAGTATTTTAAGGATGTGGTTCTAAAACTTAGAGGTACATTGGAAACACCTGGGAAGTTGTTAACATTCAGATTCCGTAGGTCTAGGGTGTGCCTGATATTCTGCATTTCTAAAAAGCTCCCCAAATGTTAATGTATCTGAACCCTGAACCATAGATTACACTGTGAGAGTAGGAGGGATCCAGAGAAATTCAAGTGATGTGGGCTGTGGCCATCAACAAGGGAGCTAGAAACAACAACAAACAAATAAAAACCCAAAAACATAGGAGGAATGTTTGCAAAAGAACATGCAAATCAACTGGGAACCCAAAATTATCTCGTTGAGGCTTTGAGGTAATCTATATTTCCCCTGTTATTCACAAGCAGTGCAAAGTCTTTCTTAAAACATAAGCAAAATTCTGAAAGTGTATATTTTCACAGCAATTTTGGACTATCAACACCAGTGGCTGCTCCTCCACCCATTCTCACTTGAATTCTTCCTCTCATGAATAACTGCTTTCTGCGTTAGCACACTCATCCAGAAGGAAAACCAAGTCAGTTTTCCACATTTTCCCCCCAAACTATTTACCAAAAACCATTGCATCTGAAGTCTTTAATGCATAGCAAATTTTAGTGATGCTTTAAGTGGTGAAGCATTTCTACGTATCAGAAATGCAGACATCTACCACTATTCTTGAATTCTTTAGCTTCCTCACCACTGATCATTTCTCTGGCCACCGTACCCCAAAGAACTCAACCTCATCTGTCTTGTTGCATTGCTACCTCACTTCTCATGTTCCATTTCTCCCTGCTTGCACCAAATAAAAATCCCTTAATAATGTTTTATAAATAACAATATGGCTCTTACTTTGTGTTCTGTAGACCAAGGCATCAAAGGCCCAGATTTCCCCTCCTGAGACAGCATATAAAAATACCCTCCCCTAAAATAAAAATAATTAGTAAATGTTTAAAAAATTATTTCTTACAGAATCCCTGGTAGCAGCAGTTAAAATGTTTCACCAAACCATCTATAAATGTGTATTGTTTATTGACTGTCAAGTATATGCACAGTACAATGTTATGCATGTCATTAGGCTTGCAAAAAATAATTCTACACTTCATCACTAATTATTTACATTGAAGTTATGTCTCACTAAGTCTTTAAAATCACAGTTTTAATAGTTTGCATGTGTGTGTTTTAATTTATTCATCTTAGCCAACATGCTAAATTAAAATACATATTTATTAACATATGTTTATATATATTTAATTTTATGTGGATAAACAAATGTGACTAAATACCAAATTGTTTTTATTTAAGGACAGTTTGTTGTTGTTGTTGTTGTTTCTTTTCTTCTTTGGTTGGTAACTCCTTACTCCTCTTCTCTTTTTCACCCTATAGTTGAGCCCCTATTCCAAGTCTAATTGTTAAGAAAAAACTGAATGTCTTCTTCTATTGTTCTCTGTACTAATGGAAAGCTAAATAGAACCATATATCTATCACACACACACACACACACACATGCATGCATGCATGCATGTGCACATACACATATGCAGAATAAACTAGACTGATGATATTCGGTGGCTTGCTTTTCTCATTCAATAATACATAAGGAAAATCATTACATAATCTCATGTAGCTATAATTCATTGTAACATCTATTTTTGACTCTTTAAAATTTATAAATAAATGGAAAAAAAGTCTATCAAATGCTCTTTCTCTCAAATCAGTGAGTTCATCCCCAAGTAATCAGCAAGAGCAATCAATAAATCAATAAAATCATAACTTTTATAAACCTAAAATTATTTCATTAAAGTAAACATTCAAATCCCTAAAATGACTACAGATTTGTGTCTTAAGAGACCTCACCATACTTTTTGGTGTAGCAACCAAAAGTTAAAGTTGTTCATTTGTATTCTTTCATGAGTTGGTTCAGCTAGGTGTAGCCACAAGAGGAGACACAGGCGAGGCTCAGGAAAACAAAATTTTTTATACTCACAGGTCCTAGAGGCACAAAATGCCACCTGAGTTCACATGGGAAAGACACCGTGGTAGTCAGGAGGCAGAAGACAGGAGCTAGGGGAAGAGTTAGGCCACTGCCTTTATTGAGGTTTCCGAAGGAAAGGTAAGGCAGATGGAGTGAACCATTGGTGATTGTCTAGTTTGCATAATTACAAAAGGCGTTGGGCTACCTGGCTGATCTCTGGTTCCCTGGCACCTGGCCCTGGGATGATTAAGGCAGAGGCATATTGCCTCCTGGGTTTATGAGCCAGACGGAGGAGATAAAGCTCCTGATTGCTTGGTTTCCATATCAAAGACATGAGCCCTTTATTATATTTAAGAATTAACTAGCTCAAAGAGGAGCAGTCACGACCTAGCTAGAAAAGTTTAAGATGTCAAAACATCATAACGTAAAGAAAATATTAAAGTATTTTAATACATTGGTTATTATTTAGTTTACCTGTAGAAGGCAATTAAGATTTATCTTGCACAGATGCATTGATTTAGAGATCAAATTACTTGCAACTATATTGTGAAGACCAACATTTGGAAGACTCATTTTGCTTTTCTATTTTTAATTGACATAATGAGGTGAGGCAATAATTTTTTCTCTTGCCAAATAATGTTTTCTCTTGCTAAAGATGGTAAATATTCTTTCTGCAATTACAACTTTATTACAACATCATCACAGACCAGAGGCACTCTCAGGCAATGCAGTATGGTGTAATGGAGAGATTCCTCTCCACTCTATTACTAATAGCTCAGTAAGCACAACATCAATTAATTTCTGTGACCTAAATGGAAAAAGGTGACAGATTACATTAAACTGCTAGAACATTACAGAAGGCCATGCTAAAATATCAGGCATTAGGATGATGCCAGGAGAAAACAAAGAAGATATAGAAAAAAATAAAACACATCATAATTGTCAGAGTCAAATCACAATTAACACATGGGTTTGTACAAGATAGTTTAAAATATGGTCATCTTATGAGTAGAGAATAAATATTTCTGCTCCCTCTCTCATAGCAATAACATATTATTAAGAGGCCAATACAGATATTCCCACTAGTAACAAAAGACCATCAAGTTTCTATATCCCCATGCGAATCTCTTAAAACTCCTGATATCGAACTGCTGGATTTTTGCACAGGGCATGTCAGAATGTGTTATGTGTGGGGATACTGGAGAGTAAACTCTGTTGCTACAGATGTTTTTATCTGAAATCACTTGTTCCAGATCCCAGCTTGGCCTTTGGTCTTTCTTCTCACAGGAGGAAAAAATGCTAACAGTGTTATCTTTCCCTCTGAGAACAGATATGTCATTCCTTTTATTCATTTGTTATTTATCCCTTGAGTTTCTTGCCAATATATGTAGGCTGATGCCCTAATTGTGGTAACATCTTATCCTTTAAAAACAACTAGACTCAAAACTAGGCTTGAGATAATAAGAGGCATAAGAGAAGGAGAAATGTAGAAGAATACATGTGGTGGAAGTGAGGTGAGGGTAATTGAAATGTAAGAAATGGAGTGACATAAAGTGCAAGAAATGGAAAAATTGAAAAAAAATAATAAAACCATTAAAACTCCTAAAAATGTAAGGTCTACTCTTAAGGAAATATTTTCCAGAACTTTGTGGCATTGATTTGTCTTCTTGACTCAATAAACTGAGCTATCATTTGAAATCTATTCTGACACAAAACTCCTGTTTCATAAATGTTAAGATCTATAGGTTTATTGCACAATAAGATTAGGATGTATCCTAATTGTTGTTTTCTTTGCTCATACATTACAAAGACACACGTACACACAGAAGAAAAGAAAAGGATAATTTTTAATAAAATTATGTTACTATTTTAAAATACATATTTGTGTGTGATAATTGTGAATTTAGATAATTTCTTAGAAAAATACATCTAAGACAAATTTGCAAAACAAAAGAATGTGAGGCTAATAATGCTGTTTAATCACACAAAATTTACATGTCATCCTTGTCATTTATTCCAAGCAATATAGTAAAATGCTCTACAGTTTTTCTGTTTTATTCTCAGCTTCGCTTATGCAACTTAACATGCTTTTTTTAATGCTGTACTTTCATTTCTGACTGAGTGTGCATTTATTTCATTTTATTGAAATTGTGGTATGCCATATGATTTATCCTCATTTTGTTGGTTGAGAGAAACTTTTCGTTCACACAATACGCTGCATTGTGTTCATTGCTAAAAGTAAATGCTTTTATTTTTTCAGGGTATAGTCTCAAACATGAAATTGCAAAGCCTACATTTATACTTGATTTTATCCTTATTATTAATTCATTATTCTTGTTTAATTATAATTTACTTGATTCTTAGCATTCTTTTAATTTGCATTTCTTCCAATACTAGTAAGATTGTATAAGTTCAATGTGATGAACACATATACATATACACATACAGGTGATGCTACTACCTGTATGCTTTGTGTAAAATCATTTGCTCACTTTGAAGTCTGCTAATGTTAAATCTATAATAGGGAGTCTGATAGTGGCATAAGAATATACATGTAGATCAATAGAATAGATTTAATGATTCAAAATAAACTTTTATATTTGTGGTACATTGATTTTTCACAAATGTGCCAGGGCAATTCAATGGGGGGAAATTTGACTTATCAGCAAATGGTACTGGGGCAATGAAATATTCATATGTAGAGCTTTCTCTTTGATTCACACAATACACAAAAAATTAGCTTAACTGAATAATAGCTCTCATTGTAAGAGCTAAACCTGTAAAATTTCTATAAGAAAACATACAAGAAAATTTTCATGATTTTAAGTTCTGGATTTCTAAGATATGATACTAAAATCGTGATCCATAGAAGAAATCAATGATAAATTATACTTTATCAAAATTAAAAACTTTTGTTTCAAAAGATGCTATTAAGAAAATGAAAAAGAGTCACATACTAGGGGAAAATATTTGCCATTCAGATATGGAAAAAAATGTGTCTTAAATATATATTTAAAAAATATTCTTAGCCCAATAAAAATGAGAAAAGGTAGTGCTGGTTCAAGATGGCTGACTAGATGTAGCTAGTGGGCACCTCTTCCATGGAGAGAAATAGAAATAACAAGTAAATATTTACGCTTCAGACAGATTATCTAAGAAAGAACAAAGGATTTCATCAGAGAAGTGACAGGAATTATGGAAAGCAGATGAGAGAGAAGCCAGGCAGCCTGCTGGGCTGTGATCAACATGGAGCTGGGAGAGACTCCCTCACTTGTGGAAGGGGTGAGTGGGGAACTACTGAGGATCCACACTTTCTCTGAAGACTTTTATAGTCCTAACTACAGGACAGCCTCTCAACCACCCAAACCCAGGCCTCCAGACTAACACAGAGAGCTGCCTACAGATTGCACAGAGGCATTGCTCAAAATTGCACAGAATCATACAGGCATTTGAGTCCTGAGCAGCTGCTGCCCAGTGCCACTCTGAAAGCCCAGACCCTAGAGACATGGGCTTTGCTCTGGGACTGCCAACACCACTTGTGCCATGACTTCCACCAAGTAAGGGATGGAGCATGGAGCCTGGGCAGCGATGTGTGCCCCAGCAATGGATACAGCCGCAGCTGCTACAAGATTGAAGAGAGTGTGAACTATGCACCCCATGGTTGCCTGCCTCCACTGGCTCCCTCTGTGCAGGCCTGCCATATTCAGTGGTGGGCCCTCAGTGCAGCCACCCTGCCCCGTCCTGAGCATTTCAACTGTAGCTCAGCATGATTCTGAAACCCCAAACCCTAGAAGTTTGTGTTCTGCCCTGGGGTTGGCACTGCTGCCTCAGCAGCTGCCACTGCAGTCAGGTCATGGAGGGAGTATGGAGACTGTGCACCTTCATGTGCTCCAACAATGAATACCATTGCTGCCACTGCAGGATGGAAGCATGAGTGGGCCACATGCCTGATAGGTGCTAGCCTCCACTGCTCCTGCTGAGAGGGGCCTGCCTTCCTTCCCGACACCTCCATGGCATAGCTACCCCGCTCTTGCCTGAACCTTTCAGCAGCAGCCTGATACATTCTGACAGCCCAGTCCCCAGAGACCTGCATTCCATGCTGGGGCTGTCACTGCCACTGCTAGCAGGCCCGGGAGAGAGCATGGAGACTGAGGGCCTTCAGGCATGCCGGGGATGGTTGTTGTTGTTTCTGCTGCTTCAGGACAAAAGCATGAGCAGTCTGTGCATCCCTCAGCTACCTGCCTCCACTGCTGCCTCTGAGAGGGGCCTGCCTACCCTGTTGGCAGGCCCACAGGGCAGCTAGCCTGCCATTGCCTGAGTGTTCTTCCTGCATGCCCTAAAAACCTGACCACCTCTCCCTATCATTACCAGCATCTGAACTTGGAGACCTAAGGGCAAATCTCCTGGTCAAGTCCCAGCCCAGTCCTTCCAAAACTTGTGCATGCAGAGGGCTGTCTAGGGGCTTGAGGACTGCAGATTGCCTCGCCTGGTCCACCATCTCTAGAACCTGATCATTCCTCCCAGGGTCTGAGGTCAAGCTGACCCAACCAGCTGAAACCACCACAGCTGACACCTACCAGCATGCACTAAAAGGCATAGCCCTTTCCCCTCTCTACACAAAACAACATCACAGCATTGTTCCTGTATCAGGGGACAGGTGAGCTGCAAAGCTGTCTGTATTTGCTGAGGGAATATGTTTCACCTTAAAGCCACTTCCATGGAGAACTGTGAGACAGGTGTTTTCCTTGGCTCTTGCCTACATTGTGACCTAGAAATAGAGGACAGTGTCTGACTGAACTGAGAGTCCCAAGCCCTGGGACAGGGGTGTGATAGAGAACTGGATCATGTTCCCGCCTGCCAGGGATATGAAGCTGGTGCAGTCCCCTTGCCTACTGTGGAGACCTCAGTACAGTGAGAATACAGTGAGCACTGCTTATATGCCTAGTACATTACTACTGTAACTATCACATAAGAAACCCCCTACACAAAGTCTGTCTATAACCAAGGAACTCATACAGAGCGTTAATCTCATGAAAGCACATATAATTAAATCCAAACACAACAAACATTACAGTCACATCCTCAAGGCAGGAAAAAAAAAGGTCCCGTCTAAATAATCTAAATGAAAGTAAATTCAAAAATAAAAGTAACAGCTTCTTCAGGGGAGAAGGAACCAGCATAAGAACTCTGGCAGTATGATTAAATAGAGCATTAGGAAATCCTCAAAGAATAAAACCTACTCTTTAGAGATGAAAATTCTGAAATAACATGTAAAGAATTCAAAATATGGATTTTAAGGAAGCTCAATGAGATTGAAATGAAAATTGAAACTTCACACAAAGAAATCTGAAAAACAATTCAGGATTAAAAGAGAAGATAATTACTTTTAAAAAAGAAAACTTTTGGACATAAAAAAAATTGCAGGATTATAAAATACAATTGAAAGCTTTAACGATAGGTTAGACCAAGCAGAAGAAAAAAATTTCAGAACTGGAAGACAGATTTTTTTTTTTAATTAGCCCAGTCAGACAAAAATAAAGAAAAGGGATTTTTTTTTAATAAACAAAGCTTTTGAGAAATATGGGATTATATGATGTGCTCAAACCTACAAATTGTAGCTACTCTGGAGGGAGAAGAATAAAAAGCAAAAAGCATGGAAAGCCTGTTTGAGAGGATAATTCAGGATAAGTTCTCTGGTCTTGTTAGAAATCTGGAAATCCAAATACAAGAAGCTCAGAAAACTCCTGGGAGATACAGGGCAAAAAGAACTTCACCAAAGCATGTAGTCATCAGGTTCTCCAAAGTTAACAGGAAGGAAACATTTCTGAAAGTGGCAAGAGAAAGGCATCTAATCATATATAAAAAAAAAATCACATCAGACTAACAGTGGACCTCTCAGCAGAAACTGTAAAAGCCAGAAGATATTGAGATCCTATCTTCAGCCTTCTTAAAGAAAAAAAAATGCAATTCAAGAATTTTGCATCCAGCTAAATAAAGCTTCATAAACAAAGGAAAAATAATGTCTTTTCCAGTTAAGCAAACACTACAGGAATTGTTCACCATTGGACTGGCTCTAAAAAGGTGCTCAAAAGAGTTCCAAATATGGAAATGGAAAACAATACTCATCATCATAACAACACATGAAAATATAAAACTTTCAGGACTTATAAAGCAATTACACAACTGACATAGCAAAGCAAATAGGTAATAATTAACAATATGACAGGAACAAAATCTCTTATATCATTTATTAACATTGAATGTAAATGGACTAAATGCTCCACTGAATGAGATTAAAAAAAAAATCCTGATCCAATCATATGCTGCATGGAAGAAACCCATCTAACTGGTAAAGACATTTACATACTGAAAGGTAAAGGAGTGGAAAAAGATATGCCATGCAAATTAGAAACAAAAATGATCAGGAGTGGCTATATTTACATCAAAGAAAACAGACTTTATAGAAAATACAGTTTAAAAAATGACAAATGTCATTATATAAGGATAAAGGAATCAATTCAACAAGAAAATATAATAATTTTAAATATGTATTCACCCTATACTGGAGCACCCAAATTTATAAAACAATAGTACTTGATATGGTTTGAATGTGTTCCCACCCAAATCTCATCTTGAATTGTAGTTGCCATAATCCCTACGTGTCATTGGTGGCTACTTAACCCCATGCTGCTGTTCTTGTGATACTGAGTGACTTTTCAAGAGATCTGCTGGTTTAATATGGGGCTTTTCCCCCTTTTGCTAGGCACTTCTCCTTCCTGCCACCATGTGAATAAGGACGTGCTTGTTTCCCTTCCCACCATGACTGTAAGATTCCCACAGCCTCCCCAGCCATGCTGAAAAGTGAGTCAATTTTATTTATAAATTACCCAGTCTCAGGTATATCCTTATAGTAGCATGAGAATGGACTAATAGAGTAAATTGGTACCAGGTGTGGGTGCTGGTATAAGGATACCCAAAAATGTTGAAGTGACTTTGGAACTGGGTAACAGGCAGAGACTGGAACAGTTTGTAAGGCTCAGAAGAAGACAGAAAATGTGGGAAAGTTTGGAACTTCCTAGAGACTTGTTGAATGGCTTTCAAAAAAATGTTGATAGTGATAAAGACAATGAACTCCAGGCTGAGGTGGTCTCAGATGAAGATGAGAAACCTGATGGGAACTGGAGTAATGGTCACTCTTGCTGTGCAAAGATTCTGAAAGCATTTTCCTCTGCCCTAGAGATTTGTGGAACTTTTACTTGAGAGAGATGATTTAGGGTATCTGGCAGAAGAAATTTGTAAGCAACAAAGTGTTCAACAGGAAGCAAAGCACAAGACTTTGGAAAATTTGCATCCAGATGATGTGATAGAAAAGAAAGCCCCATTTTCTGCATAGAAATTAAAAGCCTGCTGCAGAAATTTCCATAAGTAATGAGGAGCCAAATGTTAATCACCAAAAAATGGGAAAAATGTCTCCATGGCATGTTAGAGACCTTCACGGCAGCCGCTCCCATCACAGGCCTGGAGGCCTAGGAGGAAAAATATGGTTTCATGGGCTGGGCCCAGGGCTCTTCTGCTCTATGCAGCCTAAGGACATGGTGCCCTGCATCCCAGCTGCTTCAGCTCCAGCCGTAGCTAAAAGGAGCCAACTTATAGCTCAGGCCATTGCCTCAGAAGATGCAATCCCCAAGCCTTGGTGGTTTACACATGGTTTTGGACCTGGGGGTACAGAGAAGTCAAGAACTAAGGTTGGGGAACCTCTGCCCAGATTACAGAGGATGGATGGAAACACCTGGATGTCCAGTTTGCTGCACGTGCAGAGCCATTATAAAGAACCTCTGCTAGGGCAGTACAGAAGGGAAATGTGGGGTTGAGCCCCCACACAGAGTCCCTACTGGTGCATTGCCTGGTGCACCAGTTGTGAGAAGATAGCCAGCATCATCCAGAACCCAGAATGGTAGATCCACCGATGGCTTGCACTGTGCACCTGGAAAAGTGGCAGACAGTCAACACCAGTCCATGAAAGCAGCCAGAAAGGGTGCTATACCCTGCAAAGCCATAGAGACGGAGTTGCCCAAGGCCGTGGGAGGCTACCTCTTGTATCAGCATGCCCTAGATGTGAGACATGGAATCAAAGGAGATCATTTTGGAACTTTAAGGTTTAATGACTGCCCTGTGGGATTTTGGCCTTGCATGGGGCCTGTAGCCCTTCTGTTTTGGCCAATTTCTCCCACCTGGAATGAGTATATTTACCCAGTGCTGTACCTCCATTGTATCTAGGAAGTAACCAACTTACTTTTGACTTTACAGACTTATAGGTGGAATGGACTTGCCTTGTCTCAGATGAGACTTTGGACTGTGGACTATTGAGTTAATGCTGGAATGAGTTAAGACTTTGGAGGACTATTGGAAGAGCATGATTGTTGCATTAGTTCTCACTCTGCTAATAAAGACATACACAAGACTGGGTAATTTATAAAGGAAAGAGGTTTAATGAACTCACAATCTACATGACTGTGAAGTCTTCACAACTGGAAGACAAAGAAAAAGCAAAGGGACGTCTTACATGGTGGCAGGCAAGAGAGAAGTGAGAAGCAAGTGAAAGGGGAAACCCCTTATAAAATCATCAGATCTTATGAGACTTATTCACCACCACAAGAACAGTAGGGGGAAACAGCCCCCATGATTCAATTATCTCCCACTGGGTCCCACCACACATGGGAATTATGGGAGCTACAATTCAAGACGAAATTTGGGTGGGGACACAGCCAAATCATATCAATTGCGTTTTGAAATGTGAGTACTTGAGATTCGGGAGGGGTCAGGGGTAGAATGGTATGGTTTATCTCTATCTCCACCCAAATCTTTTCTTGAATTGTAGATTCCATAATCCCCACATGTTGTAGAAGGGAACTGACTAATGGGGGCAGTTTCCCCCATGCTATTCTCATGATAGTAAGTTCTCACAAGATCTGATGGTTTTATAAGGAGCTTCCACCTTTGCTTGGCCCTCATTCTTCTCCTTCCTGCCACCTTGTGAATTAGGATGTGTTTGCTTCCCCTTCTGCCAGGATTGTAAGTTTCCTGACAGCCATGCTGAACTGTGAGCCAATTAAACCTCTTTCCTTTATAAATTACCCAGTCTTGGGTATGTCCCTATAGCAGTATGGGAATGAACTAATACAGTACTAGACCTAAGAAATGAGATAGAGAGCAACAAAATTATAATGGGGAGGGGGCTTCAGCACCCCACCAACATCATGGGACAGATCATCAAGGCAGAAAATTAACAAAGAATGTCTAGACTTAAATTGGACTGAAGACCAAATGAATGTCACAAACATTTACAAAACATTCCATGCAACAACTGCAGAATATACACTCTTCTTTTCTGTGCATGGAGCATTCTCAAAAATAGATAATATACTAGGCCACAAAGCAAGTCTCAATAAATTTTTTAAAATCAAAATTATATTAAATATTTTCTTAAACCACAGCAAAATAACAATAGAAATCAATACCTAAAGGAGCTCATGGAAATTAAACAACCCATTCCTAAATATTTGTTGGGTAAAAATGAAATAAAGGTGGAAATTATAACAATTTTTAAACAAATGGAAATAAAGGCAAATCGTATGAAAACCCCTTGGATACAACAAAAGCAAGGCTAAGAAGAAAGTTCATAGTGTTAAATGCCTGCATCAAAAAGATAGAATGAGCTCAAATTAACAACCTAACATTGCACCTCAAGGAACTAGAAAAAAACAAAAACCACACTCAAAGATAGCAGAAGAAAGGAAATAACAAAGATCAGAGCAGAACTAAATTAAATAGAGATCAAAATAATATAAAGCATTAATAAAAGAAAAAGTTAGTTCTTTGAAAAGATATATAAAGTTGATAGACTGGTAGCTAGATTAACCAAGAAAAAAAGAAGATTCAAATTAGCACAATCAGAAATGATAAAGGTCACAGTACAACTGATACCACGGAAATACAAAGATCATCAGAAACTATCATAAGCATCTCTATGAGCACACACTAGAAAACCTAGAGGGAATAGATGCATTCCTGTAAATGTACAATCTCCTAAGATTATACCAGGATAAAATAGAAATTCCGAACAGATTAATAATGAGTAGTGAAATTGAATCAGTAATTTAAAAAATATTCTAAGATGAAGAAGCCCACCACCAGATGAATTTATAGCTGAATTCAACCAGATATACAAGGAAGAACTGATACAAATCCTATTGAAATTCTTCCAAAATATCAAGGAAGAGGGAATCCTTCTTAACTCATTCTATGAAGCCAGCATAAGCCTAATACCAAAATCAGGCAAGGACGCCACACACACACACAAAAAAGAATGAAGCCAAGAACCCTAATGGACATAGATACAAAAATCCTCAACAAAATACTAGCAAAGCAAATCCAACAGCATGTCAAAAAATAATACACTATGATCAAGTGGGTTTTATTCCAGGGATTCAAGTATAGTTCAACATATGCAAATCAATAAATGTGACTCACCATATTAACAGAATTAAGAACCTAAACCATATGATAGTCTCAATAGACCAGAAAACACATTCAATAAAATCTAGCATACCTTTTTGATGAAAACCCTGAACAAACTAGGCATGGAAGGAACGTGCCTCAAAATAATAAAAGGCATATATGACAAACCCACACCCAACAGCATGTGAAACTAAGACAAGTTGAAAGCATTCCCCCTAATAACTTTAGCTAGACAAGGATGTTCACTATCACCTCTCCTATTCAACACGGTACTAGAAGCTTTAGCCATGGCAACCAGGCAAAAGAAAGGGTAAAATGCATTCAAATTGGAAAAGAGAAAGTCAAATTATACCTATTCACAGATGATATGATCTTATATCTAGAAACCCCTAAAGTCTCCTCCAAAAGACTCCTGGATTTCATAAATGTCTTTAGTAATGTTTCAGGATATAAAATCAATGCACAAAACTCAGTAGTATTTCTATACACCAACAATGATCAAACTGAGAACCAAATCAAGAACTCATTGCCATTTACAATAACTACCAAAAAAGGACAATATGTAGAAATATATTTAATCAAGGAGATGAAAGATGTCTAGGAGCGAAACTACTGAACACTGAAAAAAATATATATCATGGATGACACAAACATATAGAAAATCATCCCTTGTTCACAGATTGGAAGAATACCAAGAGGTCTACCCATGTGTTTCCTTTATTGTCATTACTTTGAGTGAAGACCTTGTAGTTGCCAAATGCTACCACATCAAATGAAATGTATTAAGTAAAGTACATATTTGTTTGTTATTTTGGCAACCAGTCTCTTTATTACTAGGTAGTATATTTATTTAACAGGGGTCATAGTTTAAATTATCAAAATAAACAACCAAGTTACAGAGAGACATAAGCTTAAAGTAAAGCATGAATTCAAGGTGACATTCCTTTTATTGTGTCTGCAATTGAAATATGCTCATAAACACAGTCTGTTTCTAAGTTGCAATAAAGATTGTGAAGATTTTATCTTGAGCCAAGATAAGGTACAGTTAAAACTAAACACAAGACTTTCGCCTGCTGCCACCCCTAATCATAAAGGCATCAACTTCTGAGGAAAGCAGGGAATGTTTATTTTATTAAGTTGAAATATCGTTATTAGCCCTAAAACAGAATTAAAATTTGGACTATGAGGGAGAATTTTTAAAAAATTAGCAGAGAACAGCAAAATTTTTTCCCAGTTTATAATCTTGTTCTAACTTTTGAATTGTTTCAAAAAGATGTACTATATTTCTGGAATAAGAAGTATGATATTAAAACTGACCATGTCTCAAACCACATAGATTTTAAAAATATAATTAAATCATATATGTGTGTGTGTGCATGCATATATACAAATGCATACCCTCCAATCTTTCAACCATATATCTGCTTTAGGCAACTGATAAAAATACATTTGCCCTATTTACTTTTATAATTGAGATACCTTTGTCATGTTTTATCTAAAATGTATTGCACAGTTTGTTATTATTCTCATTCTCTATTGCATGAACTTCCCACACTTGATAGTCCAGTTACATTAGACAACTTTCTGTTTCCTTTTCACATACCTTGCCCTTTACGGTGCCCATATATCTTCTTACACTGTTCATGTAACAAAGAGTGATTTAATCCCTACATACCACTGTGCAAATCTCACTCAACATTTTGATCAATTCTGCCGATGCCCTCTATTCAAGCATCACCAGGGATATATCTGTAGTTGAAGAAGTTTGGTTTATTATTCATTGCAGCAAGGGAGAATGTACATCATAGAAAATGGTGAGATAGCTCAGAGAGTGTTCAAAGAACTGATAACAAGATTTAGCTTTGTGTTAGCTAATCTGAGAGAGGGTTCAAAGAATAAGAGTTTTCCAATTTTTGTACCTTACATTCATTTTTTCCAACTTAAACTGTCCTCACTAGTCCCTGGAGAATTCTGTTGACTAGAAGTGATCATATGAGATAATCTTCTTTTGTTCCCTAACTCAGAGGAAACGTTTTCATCATTACATGAACTACAATAGATGTTGAAGTTTTGGTAGGTACTCTTTACTGGGTTATTGATGTCCTTTTTCATACTGCTTGGCATGGGTTTTCATTAGTAATGAATGTGAATCTTAACAAATGCATTTTAAATTAATTGGATCATAAAATCTGTAAATGATTTGGTTTGCAATAATTTCAAAAGGTATTAGTGTTATTAGCTCATAATTTTGCATGTTCTATCTCACCTTTATCAAGCATTTTTCTTTAAAAACTGTGTTAAATTTATCGAACAAGTTAAGGTGTTTACTTCCTTTTCTACATTGTTAAATAATATGGTAATATTGGAATTTTTATTCACAAATATCTGGTGAATCTTGTGAGTGACAAGAATTTTTTTGAATACTCATTGATTTTTAAAGATAGAATCAGGAATTTAAAATCAGAGATGAGACAATAATACTGGATATCAGTACTTGTATTAATAATCTCGTTCAAGGTCCTAATTTAAGAAAATTATTACAATAAATAAGATATATAAGGAATGGAAAGTAAATAAGGAATGGAAATTAAAACTTTTATCAAATAATTTGATTTTATACTTAGAAAATATACAACATTTCATAAGGATTGGAAATAAAAAAATCACTATCCAAAAACATATGGCTATCTACATACAAAATCCAAGAAACTCAGAATTTTAGATACACATCAGAGCATTCCTATTCATGAATAATATTTATGAAGAAAATGCATTTTTAAAAATATCACTCACAAAAGCAGTGACATCTAAAAGTATCAAGATATTTACTTAATAAATTATGTGTAGACATGAAAGGGGAATTATAAGTATTTATTAAAAGACATCAAATAAGACTTGGATAAATGGAAAGTTAAATACTACTCTCTGTTAATATAGAGAATCAGTATTGTAAATTCTTCTCAGTTATACCAAAATATAATGCAATTTCAATCAAAATTCCATGAGAGCTTTTCATGGAACTTAAAAATCTGATTATAGAAGCTGAGAATTAAAGGGCTTAAATACAAATAAAATTTTGAAAAAAATCAGGTGCAGAGTCTTCCCTTATCAGGCATTTCGGTTTTATAAATTAAAAATTCCATTTTTCTCTAATGTTTTCCTTAAATCCTATTCCCATAAATGTGCATGTCTGTTTCTGTGATTTCTATTTTATTTCATTGTTATCTCATACTGTTTTGTTTGTGATAGTCTTAATATTTGCTAAAGTTTCAGCTTTAAAAGTAAACTTGTCACTATTAGGAGTGTTTCAGCTATTATTGGCACTGTGTATTGCCTAAGAAATGTTAGCAACAGTTTGCCAACTTAAAAATCAATGATGGGATTCTGAGTGGTCTGTATTGGTTACATAAATTTGAGAGAGTTGACATCTCTGCAATATTGAGTCTTCAAATACATAAATATAGCATATAGCTCCATTTATTTGAGTCTTCTGGAATGTTAATGTTTTGTAGTTTTCCCTACACAAGTCTTGCCCTTGTTTTATTAGTTTATTTTTAATGTACTTTATTTTCTTGATGGTATTATAAATGACACTTCTTTTGGAAAGTATTTCTTGGTGATGCAGACCTTTCATTTGATTATTGTGTGTCGTCCCTGAATCCAGTAATTTTGCAAAGTAATCATTAAATCTTAAAGTTGATGTGTTAAATTGTTTGTATTTTCTACATATAAAAGGACTTTGTCTATGAATAATCACAAATTTAGATGTTTTCCCAAATTTTCTTTTTTGTTTATTCACCAGGGCATACTGTAGAATACTGAATAGGAGTGGGAATAGGAAGGGAAAGCTGTCAGTGTTTCATTCTTTTTTGTTTTTCTTTTATTTTGAGACGGAGTCTCACTCTGTCCCCAGACTGGAGTGCAGTGTTAGTGGCACAGTCTCGGCTCACTGCAACTTCCACCTGCTGGGTTCAAGCGATTCTCCTGCCTCAGCCTCCCGAGTAGCTGGGATTACAGGTGCGCGCCACCACGCCCAGGTAATTTTTGTATTTTTAGTAGAGATGGGGTTTCACCATGTTGGCCAGAATGGTCTCAATCTCTTGACCTCGTGATCCACCCGCCTTGGTCTCCTAAAGTGCTGGGATTACAGGCATGAGCCACTGCACCTGGCCCAGTGTTTCATTCTGAAGTTTTGTATATTGCTGTAAAATTTTTGTGGTAATATTAAATCACTTAAAGGATTTTTATTTAATCCCTGTGATAATAAAAGTTCATCTTTTTTTTTTTTAAATAAACTGCTGGTGATTTTCTCCAAAATTATTTTCTACACCTATCGTTTTTCTAATTTAATCTGTTGATGAGGTGAATTGTACTGAGTAACTTTTATATTCCTAAACTAACCATGGATGTGTGTGATAAATCCAACTTGCGTGTGATGTATTATTATTCTTTTTTAATGTTTTTGAATAAGGTTTAATAATAACCATTTTCAAGGACTTCTCTCTTTTCATAGGTAAAATTGGACTATAGTTTTTTATTCACAGAAAGTACTACTCAGGTTTTGATGTGAAGATTATGCTGGTCTCATAAATTAATTTGGAGAAAATGCCTCTTTCTCTATTCTCTGAGAGTGTTTAACATTTTAATAATTTATTTCATGACTACTGATTGAATTTACTAAAGAAACTCTCCATGTAGTTTTCTTTGCCATAGGATTTTATTTACTGATTCAATTTCTGTAATGATTGTAGAACTCTTCACAATTTCTCTATATTTCTACATCTGTGTTGGTAATTAACACTTTCTAGGAAAAATTTCCATTTCATCTAAATTCTCAAAGACATCATTGTAATATCCAATTCTTATATTTTTATTAACTGCAGCATCTGTAATGATAATTACTTTTTTATTCTTGATGTTTTTCTTCTTGATCAGTCTTGACAGAAGTTTATCAAACTTTTAAGTATGTTACCTCTATTTTTTAGTTTGTTTTCTAATTCATGAATTCTTGTTATCTCTATTATTTTATTAATCATTTTTCCTCTGGTTTTATTTTGCCATCCTTTAACTTCTTAAGAGAGATTTTTATCTCATTAATTTTAATTTTTTTCTAATATTTTCATGCATTTAAGGTATAAAATTCTCTTTGCTTTAACTGGATTCTACAAATTTTGATCACTAGTTTTCTGTTAAAATTGATTTAAGTATTAACGAATTCCCATTGTTTATTCTTTGAACCATGTACTACTTAAAGCACTTTGTTAATTTTTAAATATGTGGATTTTGTTTTCTAGTTAGCTTTGTCCTGTTGATTAACAGCTAAATTGTGCTATGGCTAGATAGCAGATTCTATGATTTTAAATCTGTAATTAATAGACACTTGCTTCATGGTCCATGTATCATCAATGTTTGTGAATGTTCCAGGTATACTTAAAGGCATGAATGTCATGCTTTTATGGGTAGCATAATGCTCTATTTAAATATCAGTAAATTTGTAATGAATCTTATTTTTCCAATATCCTTAATAATTTTTATTCAATTTTTCAATTACTGAAATAGAATTGTTAAAATATTCTGTTATCATTGTGAATTTATCAATATCTTCTTTTAGTTTATTAATTCTTTTGTATCTCTTATGTTTATGTTTTTAGGTCATTTCACTTGAAAATTGTTGTATCTTCTTGTGATTAATGCCTTTCATAAACTTTGGTAAAGTTTTTGACTTAAAGTCTGTTTTGCCTGTTATTAATGTATCTATCCCAGGTTTATTTGAGGTTGCATTCTTATTGTATATCTATCTGCATCCTTTACGTGTGTCTCTTAAAAAATAGAGGTAAATTCTTCCTACTGTCCAATCATTCAATATAATTGGTTGGCAAATTCTCACTTTTTTACAGTGTGCAGTTTTACCCACAATGGAATCTGGATACCTGCCAAGCCATTTCTGAGTTATGGAAGTATATGAGTTATGCCAAAATGTTTAAATTGCCCTTTGTAGCGCGGTGGCTCATGCCTGTAATAATACCAGCACTTTGGGAGGCCGAGGCAGGTGGATCATGAGGTCAGGAGATCGAGACCATCCTGGCTAACACAGTGAAACCCCGTCTCTACTAAAAATACAAAAAAAAAAAAAAAAACTGGGCGTGGTGGTGGTCACCTGTAGTCCCAGCTACTCGGGAGGCTGAGGCAGGAGAGTGGCGTGAACCTGGGAGACGGAGCTTGGAGTGAGCTGAGATCATGCCACTGCACTCCAGCCTGGGTGACAGAACGAGACTCTGTCTCAAAAAAAAAAAAAATTGCCCTTTGTAATAAAATGTAATGCATTGTTCACCAAAGCTATTGCTAATGCCTATTTATAGGATCTAATTCATCAGTTTTACAATTCTTGTTCTCTCTTTGCAATGAAATTCCATATAACTTTTATTTGCATTGTATGAAATATTTATTTGCAAGAAAAATATACTTAATTTAGTTAACCTAAGAAAGAAAAATGACAGTCAAAAAATAATGTATGTTGAAATACTTTTAAAACCAAGTTTCTTTTGTTTTAACTTCTTTTTATTTTTTTAAATTTATTTATTTTACTTTAAGTTCTGGGATACATGTTCAGAAGGTGCAGGTTTGTTACATAGGTATACATGTGCCATGGTGGTTTGCTGCACCCATCAACCAGTCATCCTAGGCTTTAAGTCCCACATGCATTAGGTATTTGTCCTAATGCTCTCCCTCCCTTTGCTCCCAACCTCCCGACAGGCCCCGGTTTGTGATGTTCCCCTCCCTGTGTCCATGTGTTCTCATTGTTCAGCTCCCACTTATGAGTGAGAACATGTGGTGTTTGGTTTTCTGTTCCTGTGTTAGTTTGCTGAGAATGATGGTTTCTAGCTTCATCTATGTCCTTGCAAAGGACATGAACTCATTCTTTTTTATGACTGCATAATATTTCATGGTGTATATGTGCCACATTTTCTTTATCCAGTCTATCATTGATGAGCATTTGGGTTGGCTCCAAGTCTTTGCTGTTGTGAATAGTGTTTTACCTTCTAACAAATCACACCTCTTTCAAAAATTTATCATATTCTAGTTGTGTAATTTAATCAATACCACTTGCACTGACTACCAACTGTGCTAATTCTAGGAGTTATGTTGTCTTTCCTCTCATTTAGTTGGTTTGCAACCTCATCCAATTTGTAGGCAATTTTGATTTGGTTTCTAAATCACATTCCAATATATTTTAAACTAAAATTATTTTAAAAACAAAAATTACAAATTAGTGCAAACATTAATACAAGATAAAAAGCCTTTATTTTGATTACTTCATAATTTAAAATGATGTAAACAAAATTATTATTGGTCTATAAAAATGTATTAGTTTCATAGTCATAGCCGTTTCTAATACTATGTCACTGGTTTTCTTCTGACGTGTTTCCAATTTGACCTTATTTTTTAAAACCTTTGTGTACTCTTATTCAAAGTTGTGAAACAATTTTAATAGTTGACCCATTAAAATATTGATAAAAGCTCTCCTCTCCAAGGGCATGACTCCAAGGGTATAACTAATAAAAAAACATCAAAATATTCTAAATGAAGTTATCTTCAATGCAATTTACAGTTTCCGTATGTCCAAACTAAACATAACGACTTCTTAATCTTATGGTAATTATGCAGAATTCCAACTTCTTAACAATATTGCTATTATATTATATTTAGAAAAAAGCCTGAAGAACTCCCTTTGAGACTCAAATTAAAGCCAGTGAAATGGCTAAAGACTGTCCATGTGATTCAAATTTAAACAATGCCAACTACCAATATAAGCACTTTAAAAGAGAATTAATGACAGAGGGAATCATATTTTTAGGTTTTCATCAGGTCTCTTTCCCCATCTGTTGTACAAACCATGATGTGTGCACATCCAGTATTTCTTCAGTGATGGACTTGTTGCCCTGTCTGCTGGAAGTGCTGTGGACAGATGCCTTCAGCTGTCAGCCTATTCAAGGGTTGCCTCAGTTCCAGTGTCTCAAGGCTCCTTCTCTTTGCAGAGAGCTGCATCCAATGACTGATCAATGAGGGCACAATAAGGCCTGGCATCTCAGGGGCATTTTAGTTCCAGAGCTTCCTGTACAGTCAGTAGAGCTGTTGTGGGACCTGCATTACAACTTGAATTCCGTTCAGTGTTGCTTCCTCCCACTCCCTTCCGTAGACTTGGATGCCCTTGTCGCTTTGTAATAAGCATCTCACATTGAACGCTTTCCCAAAAATCCAACCTGTGATACCATTGATGTTCCCATTAGCCATAGGAAAAACAGTGGAGATGTGTTATGTGCAAAACAGGATAAGCTCAAGTTTAAATTATACAGAAAAACTCTGAGAAAAGTAGGAGAATCTACCATCTACACACTCAGACATATTTACACAAGTAGATGTAAATATGCAGATGCAAGAAAAAGTCAACAGAATAATGGGTAAAGATGATAAACTAAATATTGACAGAAAAGGATAAAGGGGCCTTAAATATTAAAATGTGCCTAATCCCTGTTATAATTAAATAAATTCAATGTAAAATACATTGCATTTATACTTCATCTGCAGATTTGACAAATGTAACATGAAATTGATAAACAACTTTGTAAAGAAGGTTTTGGGGCAATAGGCTGGTTGATAACATTGAAGGTAAGAATGCTAATCAGTGCCAGTTCTAGGTGGTGAAATAAGCATTTTCTATCAAAACTGAAAATTTGTGGATTGTTCTTGATCCAGCAATTCCACTGCCAGCTTTTTATATTGTAGACATATTCCAAGACACATTAAGTGGATAAAAGAAAACGTGAGACCATTGAACATATATTTGTAGTGGGCTGCAATGTGTGAGAGGAAACAAATTTTTAAAAACTATATATATATACACACACATAGTTGTATACAACTATGCAAACACAAATATGAGTGTGTGTGTGCACCTATAATTTTCTATGAATTCTATGTTTAGAACTGCATAAGATGCCTCTGAAATATTCTGTGATATATACTTATACCTACATAGAATATTTCTAGGTATATACATAAGGTACAGGCAATAGTGTTTTCCCCTAGGAATGGGAATGAAGTGGCTCAGTGAGAAAAGTATAGGAGATACACTTTTCACCATACAGACTATTGCAAATTCTGAATTTTATACCACAAGCATGTATTAACTATTTGAAAAGTAACATTAAGAGCTAAAACTATTAAGACTCAAAGTTCTTGTCCAATATGTCATAGTAATTACATTTATGTTGTCAGCTGGAGATGGACAAATTATTTGCCTTTAAATCCAATATGAAATTGTAAGTGCTTATATTTTCTGGAATTTCTTTTAACAATTTTAGTTACACTGACAATAATTATGAGTTAATATCAATGGTCTCTGCTAACAGCTAAGAATCCTTTTTCATTTTATTTATATTATCCATCACTCTCTCTTCTACCGTCTCAGTTGTTAAAATGGGCATTTCTGTTTTTGAAAAATAATATTTCTTTTCTACAGTAGAAGAAAACTTTAGCTGTCGTTTTCTAAAATTTCTTCCCCAACTATAGATTTCAATCTACCTGTGATTGACTAACAGTATTCTTTCAGGAAGTACACATGAGATGTTATTGATGTGATTACCTGAGTTGCCACCAGGGAGTCTCTGATTATTCACTACTTACTCTTGTTTTTGATTAAACTCATTACCTGTATATTACTGTGTTAATATTAACTATGTATTAGAAAGGCAAATATTTCTGATTCATTTAATTAGTTTCTTAGGGTACCATGGGTATATGATTTTTTTTCTTTCATTAACTGTTGAAGCAAATTTCAAGGCAAGGATATGATTCTGTTACCTAAGATCAGACATAATGAAGTATGTAACACTACCTTCCAAAACCTGGGCTCAGAATACAGCACATTGGTGAAAATCAGAAAAAGGAGCTCTCTCTGGAAAGAAGTATGAGAGAGAAATCCCCTCTCTGAGTGAGCAATTAGACACAAAGGGCCCCATCTGGTGAATACCACAATGTTTAGTTTTGCCAGTGTGCAGAGGTTGGATATCAGCCTTTCAGGCAAAGCGCAAATCACCCAACAATGTATGGAAGGGCTGCTTTCGCCAGCCTAAGGAGGAGACAAATTTCAGGTACAGTTTAGGACCAACGGTCCACTTTAATATCAGCTAAAGTAATTTACCTTAAAGGAAACTAACTCCTTGCTCTGCCTCCACTGAGAGTGACCAGTTTATCAGAAACCATTTAAGAGAAGAGGAAAAGAAGAAATGTGTGTTTCATTAGATTAGGAACAAATTTTAATTATTTAATTTAAAATTTTAATTTAATATAAATAAATAAGTAACCTTCTCATCTGGGTTACATCAGCTTCTTTTAGTTTTAATTCCCCAAATAAATGAAACCTTGAGCTTTTCCTGACCTCTCCTCAAAGAAGAACATTTTTTTTTTAATCTGGGCTTTGGAGTTCTGATTTTTGAAAATCTATAAGCAGCCTGGAAAATATGAAAATCACATGGGGAAATTGTAGTTTTCCATCAACGACAGGTTTCCATCAATAACCTTGCTATTCCTGTGGGTGTTTTTTCTTTCTTTCTTTCTTTTTTTTTCTTTTTTTTTTTTTTTTTTTTTGGTAAGCCAGTACTCCTGTTTTCCCTTGTAAGATTTCTTTGCCAGTAGACTTTGTTTCTTTTCTAAATGCTTTTACATCAGAGTCTTATTTGACAGTTTTCATTTAAAGTATGCTTTTGGTGGGTGTGCTAGGTTTACAAAATGAACATGGAAACTTTGATTTGTCATGTGTTATGTTAAAATTATAAAGGCAATTGCATTTTATTTTGGCAGGAATTCCCACTAGCTATCTTCAAAAATATTCAGAATACAACTACTTCTTACTAAATGAATAGCTATCTTCCTAGTTCCTTTCTCAGCATCTCTTCTCTGTGGCTTATTGCCAAAAGCCACCTAAATGGCCTCCCTGAGTTGTTCATGCTCCTTATCATTTGATGCAATACAGCAGCTAGTGTATTGTGTTAAATACAAGCCAGTGTGATTCTATTAAATATATATTAAATCAACAAAACTCCTTTGCTCAAAAATTCTCTTAACAGCTTCTCACTCCATGGCAGTAATTAAAATGGTTCACACAACTTCACACCTTCCATTTACCACGTCCTCCAATTAGCTCACTTACTTAATCTGACCCTTCTTAATTATCCCAAGAGAAATTGTCATTGCTGCTTTGAAATAAAATAACTAAGCACGTTTCTGCCTTGAGAGAGTTCCCACTTTTGGGAATTTTCTCTTCCAAGAGAGCTCTGGAACCTTCTACTGATCTTCATTCAAATGTTGCTATCTCAGTAAAAACTTCCTAGTTCCCTACCCTAGCATCACTTGTCTCTCTTCCTACATTTTTTCAGCATAGTGTTCATCACTTTCTACATATTATATATCTTACCTATTTGTTTTGTATATTGCTTATCTTTCCAACACTATAATATTTTCTCTAAGAGAAAATGTTTATGTTTATTTTGAGTGTTTTTATCTTCTCTTATATATTTATATATTCATTCCAGTCATTGAGCATGTACTTCCCTGCATTTGAAGAGCATTAATCTAGCTACAGAACATGCCTGTGTCAATATCTGCATTTTCAACATAAGGGTAATAATTGCATTTATCCCGTTAAATGCCTATGAAGATTAAAAAAGAAAAAAACGCACATTAAAGAATAGGCACTAGACTTCCAATTTCAAAATGGCAGCATAGAAGCAAGCTGGCTTCACTCTCCTCCACAAAAAAGCCCCACACAAATATATAGAACAGATTATTACCAGCAAGATTCCAGAACTCAAGTATGAGGAACAGCCAGTTTCTAAGACCACAGAGACTTGAAAAAACTCCAAGAAGACAGAAAACAAATCTGACTTCTATATGTGTGATGCCCCTCCTCCAATCTGTGTATCCCTAAGCATGAGGAAATTTCCCCTAACTTATAGTTTCTCCCCTGGTAAATGTAAGATTGAGATGGACAACAAGCTTCCCTGCCATTTTGGAATCTCTGGCCAGAGACCAATATTTGCCTCAATCCACAGGAAATGATGGGAGTTCCTGAAGGAAGAAGTATTCCTGAGGACAGTCAGTGATAAAGAGCAGGAAGCAGGACTAGCATAACTAGCCCAAGAAACTCTGTTCTGTAACTTGGCAAAAAGACCTATAACTTTAGTCACTCTAAATTAGAGTGGCTGTTCGGCAGCACCACATTGTAGGAGATTTGTTTCACAGATTCCCTGGGCATGAACCCCCTAGCCAGTCTTCCCACGCTACTGAGATTAGCTTTGGGACCTTTCTCACTTGGAAAAGGCAATGCTATGATTGTTTACTAGAACCAAGGCAAACCTGGACTTAAGACATCATCTAGTACTGAAAAGAAGGTAGTGATGTAGCAGATTTAAAAAAAAAGAAATCAACAGATAAATTACAAAGAATCTCTAAGTAAACATATCCAATATAAATAAACACAAGCCATACAAAGAAGACTGAAATAAATCTAAGTATACTTAGATAAAATGGACAACAGATCAAAGGCTATAAAAAGAAATAAAGATGGTCACTATATAACAATAAAGAGGTCAATTCAATAAGAGGATATAACAATAATAAATCTCTATGCATCAAACACCAGAGCTCCCAAGTTTATAAAGCAAACATTAATAGATGTAAAGGGAAAGATAGACTTAAATACCACAATACTAGGGGTCATTAATTCTCAATAATGGACATCTACTCTCAATAACTGATAGATCATCTAGACAGAAAATCAACAAAGAAAGATCAGAGTTAAACTACGCAATTGACCAAATGGACCTAACTGATATTAACAGAGTGTTTCACCCAACTGCTACAGAATACATATGATTTTCATCAGTACATATAACTTTCTGCAGAAGAGACCATATCTTAGGACATGAAACAAGTCTCAACAAATTAAAAATAGTAGAAATCATGTTAAATATCTTTTCTGACCACAATGGAATAAAACTAAAAATCAACTGTAAGAGGAATCTCAGAAACTACAAAAATACATGGAAATTAAACAACATGACTCTGAATGATCAATGGATCAATAAAAAAATTAAGAAAAAAATGTAAAAATGTTTGTGAAACAAATGAAAATGGAAAAATAACATATCAAAATCTGTGAGATAGAGCAAAAGCTTTATTAAGAGAGAGGTATATACCAATACACAGCTACATAAAAATGTTGAAAGATTTCAAACAAACAACTAGGCAATATCCCTCAAAAGACTAGAGAAGCAAAAACAAACCAAGCCCAAATTAGTAGAAAGAAGAAATTATAAAGTTTAGAGCAATAATAAATGAAATTAAGATTAAAATAACAACACAGGTTAATAAAACAAAAACTTAGTTTTATAAAAAGACAAAATCAACAAACTTTTATCTAGACTAAGAAAAAAGAGAGAAGATTCAAATTAAAATTAGAAATGAAAAAGGAGAAATAACAACTGAGACCACAGAAATATAATGAATTATTAAAAACTATTATTAACAACTATACTCTAAAAAATTGGAAAAATTAGAAGAAATTGATAAATTCCTGGACACATACTATCTACCAAAATTGAAACATGAGGAAATAAAAAGCTTGACAAACCAATAACAGATAAGAAGTTCAAAGCTGTAGTAAAAAGTCTCCCATCAAATAAAAGCCCAGGACCTGAGAGCTTCACTGCTGAATTCTACCAAACATTAAGAAAAGAATTAATGCCCACTCCTCAAAACAAATGCAAAAGGATAAAATACTTCCAAACTCATTTGACAAGGCCAGCATTACACTGCTATCAAAACCAGACTAGAACACAACAAAAAAGAAAACTATAGGACAGTATCACTGATGAACATAGATGCAAATATGTTCAACAAAATACTAGCAAATCATTCAACAACACATTAAAATGATTATTCACCAGGATCAAATAGGATTTATCCCCAGAATGCAAGGATACTTCAACATATGCAAATAATAAACACAATACATCACATTATCATAAGCAATACCAAGAATCATATGATCATTTCAATAGATACTCTGAAAAGCATGTGATAAAATTCAACTATACTTTATATAATAATTCTCAAAACACTGGGTATAAAAGGAGCATAACTCAAAATAATCACAGCCAATACTGTAGGGCATAGGGAAAAATTGACAGCCTTTCTTCTAAGATCTGGAGCTAGACAAGGATAACCACTTTCAACACTTTTATTCAACATAATACTGAATGTCCTGGCCAGAGCAATTAGGCAAGAAAAATAAATAAATGACATCTAAATCAGAAAGGGAGTATTCAAATTAGCATTGTTTGCATATGACATGATCTTATACTTAGGAAAACCTAAAGACTCTATGTAAAATCTGTTAAAACAGATAAATTCTGTAAAATCACAAGATACAAAATCAACATACAAAAATAAGTAGTGGCACTCCTCTGCTCTGTAAGCTGGGAGAGAACTCAGAAATCAAGAAAACAATGACAAAGGTTAGAGGGGGAAACCAAGATGGGCAACTAGATGCAGCCAGAAGGAACATCTCTCACCAAAAGCCTGGGAAGACTGGCATACTCCAAGCAGATCTTCAGAGTAAAGGCATTTACAGTGCATGGAGAGAGGATGCTGATACTGGGCTGTTGGGGGAGGAAGTTGGGAATGCTGAACAGCACTACCAAGCATGGGGACATGTTTCTGGCCCTAGCAACTCCTAGGGAAAGAGTAAATTGAAAAGGTGAGGAATGGCCCACTGTTGCCACGGACCTCCAGAATCCAGACAGCAGGAGACCCCCATACATCCAAGGACACTTGAGCTAGGATGGAGAGCTGCTTAGAAAGGTAGTAGGGGTAGATCTCCGGCCTGTGCAGAGCCCTTATGGTTTTGTGTGGATATGTCTGCAGTGAAGCAAAACCAGGGATGCCTATCCCTCAAGGTTGGCCATACTCCTCTAGGAGACTTTAAGCTTCAGGTGACTGTCAGACCTGGACAAAGCAGTGTAGTTTTGCCCATTAGCCAGGGCCACATGGTTCTGAGGGCCATCTGTCTGCTTGCCTCTCCTGGGGCTGCAACCTGACCATGTCTGCTTGCAATACAGTCTTAGATGCCTAAACAGACTGTCTCCTCAGAGCTATCATCATAGCTCCTTCACTGGTAGACCATGCCAGACCACAAAAGAACTCCAGCAGATTGGTTCCCACTGACAGGCAACAGCCAACCCACAACCTCACCCCAGAGCCTTCCCACAATGCTTTCTCAGCACAACTTCCCAATGATCACCCTTCTACCACTTGGTTGACACATGTGTACAGGTGGACCTCACCTCCTACCACTTACCCACTAGACCACATGTGCACACACAGCCCCTGTGCAACTTCTGCCAGTGTGAGTGCACCCCACCATGCTACCTCATTGCTGACACACAGGCACCTGGCTGTATGCCATTGCCAGTGTGAATACAAGCATGGATGCCAAAAACCCCATCCCTCCTACATTACCACCGCAGCTGCTGCAAACCCATGCACAAAAGTGGGCAACCCCATGCCACCACTGCTGCTGGTACATGAATGCAAGTGTGGACACAGTGGCCCCACCCTCACCAGTGCCGTGTCTCCATTGCTGCTGATGTAAACACATACAGATATGCAGCAGCCTGACTCCTGCTGGTACCACATACCAGACAGCACACGTACACCCCACTGTGCTACTGCAGCTGCTGGCATGAGTGAACGAGCACGGTTCCCACTGCCACCATCCTAATGAAGTGCTTTGGACAGCACTACTCATCCAGATATTGTGGATGGCAGACCAGGAACACTTAGGCCCCTCCAGCATAGCAGGTTTCTAAGCTCTAGGGGCCAGAGAACAAAGCTGGGGGCCCTGTACACATGCACAGTAAGAGTACATAGGTCAGGAGTGCTGAACTGAGTGTTGGCCCCTAGAAACTTCCAGAAATGAAGCCAGTTGACTGAACCAACCTTATGCCACAATCAAACATGCAGCGTATCAGGGCATAAAATAAGATAGAAGCAAAAAAAAAAAGAAAACCTCATCTAATGGACAGCAACTTCAAAGACTTAAGGAACATCAGCCCACACAGATGAAAAAGAATGAATGCAAGAACTCTGGGAACTCAAAAAGCCAGAGTGTTGACTTACCTCCAATGAGCCCACTACTTCCCCAGGAATGGTTCTTAAAAAGGCTGAAATGTCACAAATGACAGAAATGGAACTCAGAATATAGACAGGAATGAAGATCATTGAGATTAAGGAGAAATTCAAAATCCAATTCAAGGAATCAAAGGAATACAATAATACAATACAGGAGCTGAAAGATGAAATGACCATATTAAGAAAGAAGCTAGCTGATCTGATAAGAGCTAAAAAAAAAAACCTCACTTCAATAATTTCGTTATATAATTGCAAGTGTTAATGGAAGAATTGACCAAACTGAGGAAAAAATTTCAGATCTCAAAGACCAGTTGTCTAAAATAACTTAGGCAGATGAAAATTAAGAAAAAAGAATACAGAAGAATGAACAAAATCATGGAAAACTTATTTGAGGATATTGTCCATGAAAATTTCCTGACCTTGCTAGAGAGGCCAATATTCAAATGCAAGAAATGCAGAGAATCCCTGTGATATACTGTAAAGATAACCATCCCCAGGACATATAGTCATCAGATTCTCCAAGATCAAAATGAAAGAAGAAAATGTTCAAAGTCACTAGAGAAAAGGGGCCAGTCACCTACAAAGGGCATACCGTCAGGCTGTGGACCTCTCAGCAGAAATGCTACACACAGCAGAAAAGATTGGGGACCATATTCAGTATTCTTAAATAAATTACAACCAAGAATATCATATTTAGCCAAACTAAGCTTCATAAGAGAAGGAGAAATAAGATCCATTTCAATCAAACAAATGCTAAGAAAATTCATTACCATCAGACCTGCCTTACAAAAGGTCCTTAAGGTAGTGCTAAATATAGAATTGAAAGACTGTTTCCAGCCATCACAAAAACAGTTGAATACATAGACCATTGACACTATAAACAACTATAAAATCAAGTCTGCATAATAATCAGCTAACAATATGATGATAGGATAAAATCTGCACATATCAATATTGAACATGAATGTACATGAGCTAAATGACCTAATTAAAAGCCACAGGGCAGCAAGTTGGATAAAGAAGCAAGAACCAACTGTATTCTGTCTTCAAGAGGCCCATCTCACTTACAATGGCACCCATAGGCTCAAAGTTAAGGGATGGAGAAAAATCTACCAAGTAAATGAAAAACAGAGAAAAGCAGGGGTTGCTGTTCTCATTTCAGACAAAACAGACTTTAAACCAACAATGATCAAAAAAGACAAATAAGGGATTACATAATGGTAAAAAGTTCAATTTAATAAGAAGTCTTAATTATCCTAAATATATATGCAGTGAACACTGGAGCACCCAGATTCATAAAACAAGTTCTTAGGTAACCACACAATAATAGTGAGAGACTTCAATATCCCACTGAAAGTATAAGACAGATCATTGAGGCGGAATACTAACAAAGATATTTGGGCCCTGAACCTGATGCTTAGCGAAATAGACTTAATAGACAACTACAGAACTCTCCAACCAAAAACCAAAAATAACAGAATATACATTCCTCTCATCTTCATATGGCATATATTCTATAATTGACCACACAATTGATCATAAAGGAATTCTCAGCAAATTCAAAAAAATTGAAATTGTACTAACCTCACCCTTAGACCACATTGTGATAAAAACAGAAATCAATACTAAAAAGAGCTCTCAAAACCATGCAATTACATAGAAATTAAAACTTCTTCCTGAATGACTTTTCAGTAATCATTGAAATTAAGGCAAAAATCAAGAAATTCTTTGAAACATACATAATGATAAGAAACATACAACATACTAGAATCTCTGAGACATGGCTAAAGCAGTGTTAAGAGGAAAGTTTATAGTGCCAAATGCACATATCAAAAAGTTAGAAAGAGCCCAAATTAACAACCTAACATCAAACTGAAAGGAATTAGAAAAGAAAAACAAAACAACGCCAAAGCTAGCACATGACGAGAAATAAGAAAAGCCAAAAGCAGAATTGAACAGAAGGAAATTGGGCATGAAAAACCATACAAAAGATCAATGGATCCAGAAATTAATTTTTGAAAGAATAAATAAGATTGATAGACCACTAGCTAGACTAATAATGAAAAAAAGGGAAGATCCAACTCTAGACAGATTAAAAGCTTAAATGTATATCCTAAAATTATAAAGCCCAGAAGGTAACGTAGGAAGTACCATTCTGGACATAGGCCCTGGCAATGGTTTTATGTTGAAGACTCTGAAAACCATTGCAACAAAAATAAAATTGATAAATGGCACCTAATTAAACTAAAGAGCATCTGCACAGCAAAACAAAATATCAACAGAGTAAAAAGACAACCTACAGAATAGGAGAAAATACTTCCGAACTATGCACCTGACAAAGGTCTAATATCTAGAATATATAAGAAACTTAAACTTACAAGCAAAAAGCAACCCCATTAAAAAGTGGGCAAAGAACATGAACAGACAGTTGTCTAAAGAAGACATAGATGGGGCCAACAAGCATATGAAAAGATGTTCAACAGCAATAATCATTAGAGAAATGCAAATCAAAACTACAATGAGATAACATCTCACACCAGTCAGGTGGCTATTGTTAAAATGTCAAAAAATAACAGACGTTGGTGAGGTTATGGAGAAAAAGAAATGCTTATACACTGTTGGTGGATATGTAAATTAGTTCAGTCATTGTGGAAAGCGGTTTGGTGATTACTCAAATAACTTAAAACAGAACTACCAACTGAGCAAGCAATCCCATTATTGGGTATATACCCAACAGAATATAAATCGTTCTACCATAAAGACATATGCACATGTATGTTCATCACAGCCCTATTCAGATTAGCAAAGACATGGACTCAATGTAGTGCCCATCGATGAGGGGACTGGATAAAGAAAATGAGGTACATATACACCATAGTACACTATACAGCCATAATAAAGAAAAGATCATGTTCTTTGCAACTACACTGATGCAGTTGAAGGCCATGGTCTTAGTGAAACTAACACAGGAACAGGAAAACCAAATACCACATGTTCTTACTTGTAAGTGGGAGTTAAACATTGAGTATGCATGGACATAAAGAAAGGACGACAGACACCAGAGCCTACTTGAAGGTGGAGGGTGAGAAGAGGGTGAGGATCGAAAAACTATCTGTCAGGAACTATGCTTTTTACCTGGGTGATGAAATAATCTGTACACCAAACCCCTATGACAGACAATTTACCTATATAACTGCACAGGTAACTCCGAACCTAAAATAAGTGTTTAAAAACAGGGAGAAGAAAGAGTATAAAGAGAAGGAAAGGGGAAAGAAAACAGAGAGAGAGAAAGAGAAACTGGAAGAAGAATCCAGTTAAGAATTTGGAGGAAAAGAAATGTAGTTATGGCATAAAGAATGTAGAATGCTGAAAATCTCAGGAGGAGGACTTGGTGATAGCCTTTTCTGACTAAAGTAAGAGAAAGGTGTGACATGGAATACTACATAGCTGTAATGAAGAATGAGATCATGTCCATAGCAGCATCCTGGATGAAGCTGGAGGTCATTATCCTAAGCAAAGCAGTGCAGTAACAGAAAACCAAGTACTGTGTGTTCTCACTTATAAGAGGGAGCTAAACAGGAAGTACACATGAACACAAAGAAGGGAAAAACAGACACTGTGGCTTACTTCAGAGTGGAGGGTGGGATGAGGGTAAGTAACTACCGATAGGGCACTATGTTTATTACCTGGATAATGAAATCATTTGTACACCACTCCCTCATGACACACAATTTGCCTATATAACAAAACCTACACATATACCCTTGAACCTAAAATAAAACTTTTAAAAACATCAGTAACATTTCTACATGTCAACAGAGAACAACCTAAAAAACAAATTTAAAAAGATAATCCCATTTACAATCACTACAAAAAATATAAATTTCGTAAGAATCAATCTATCAAATAAGTGAAAGATCTATACAAGAAAAACTATAAAACACTGACGAAAGAAATTAAAGAGGACACAAGAAAATGGAAGGATACTCCATTATCATAAATTGGAGAAATAAAATAGTTAAAATGGCATTACTCCCCAAAGCAGCTTGCAGATTCAATGTAATCTTTATCAAAACGCAATGACATTCTTCACAAAAATAGAAAAACAAAACCCTACAATTTATATGGGGCTACAAAAGATCTCAAATAACCGAAGCACTTCTGAACAAAATGAACAAAGCTAGAATTTTTACTCTGTTTGACTTCAAAATATACTACAAAGTTATAGTAACCAAGTCAGCATGATATTGGCATAAAAATCAGACAAATAAACCAATGAAATAGAAATGAGAATCCAGATATAAATCCTTGCATTCACAGCCAACTAATTTTCCACAAAGGCACCAAGAACACTCATAGGGAAATGGACAATCTCTTCAATAGGCTGTGCTGGGAAATCTGGATAAGCATATGCAGAGGAATGAAACTAGACCCTATCTCTCACCATACACAAAACTCAAATCAAAATTTATTAAAAACTTACATCTAATACTTGAAACAATGAAACTACCAGAAGGAAACCCTGGGGCAAAGCTCCAGGACTTTGGTCTGAGCAAGAATATTTCTTATATAAAACCTCAGAAGTACAGGCAATCAAAGCAAAAATTGAGAAATGGGATTACATCAAGGAAGGATCTTCACAGCAAAGGAAACAATTAACAAAGTGCAGAGTCAACATACAGAATGGGAGACTATATTCGCAAAACTCTTCAGCTGACAACGGATTAATAATTGGAATATATAAGGAGCTCAAACAACTCAACAGCAGAAAAATAAATAATCTGCTTTAAAATTAGCAGTAGTTCTGAAGAGATATTTCACAAAAGAAAATACACAAATGGCCAATGAGCATATTAAAAATGCTCAACATTACTAATCATGAGAGTAAAGCAAATCAAGCACACAATGAGATATCATCTCATGAGAGTTAAAATGGTTTTTATCAAAAAGATATTTATGGATGCTAGTGAGGATATAGAAAATGGAAAACCCTAGTAAACTATTGATGGGAATGTAAATAAGTACAACCACTATGGAGAATAGTATAGAGGATTCTCAAAAAATTAAAATAGAATGACCTTATGATTCAGTAATTTCACTACTAAATATACATTCAAAAGAAAGGAAATCAACATATCAAAGAGATATCTACACTCCTATATTTATTGCAGCACTAATGACAATAGCCAAAATGTGGAATCAACCTAAGTGCCCCTCGGTGGATGAATGGATATAGATAATGTGGTGTATATACCCAAAAGAGTATTATGCAGCCATAAAAAGAAGGAAATTCTGTCATTTGCAGCAGTATGGATAAAACTGGAAGCCATTAAGTGATATAAGCCAAGCACAGGAAGACAAATATCACATATGCTTGTTCATATGTGGGTTTCTTCAAAACACAAAAATAAAAACAAAACAAAAACTTTCTGCTTATTCAAATCTGAAAGAGTTTGGGCAACTAAAACCTGATTAACTAGAGAAGACTCATACTTTCAGAAGTTTATTAGTATTTGCCTTCCATCCTACAAAGACGATGGCAGTACATTTCAATTCTATAATTTCTTCTCCTCTATCTTGCTACTTCACTTTATCATAAATCTCCTCTATGTATACTGTCAAATCAAAACATCATCTTTTGAAGCAAAGGATTCATCTGTTTCATGACTCAAGCTGTGAAGTCCAAAACATACAGGCAAACATTTGATCTTCCCAAGGCTTTAATTCTCAAAAGCAATTGCAGCCTCTAGCCTCTATTAGTAAACCATTTCACTTCTTAATATAACTTCTGTTTAAGTGTTTTCCATTTCAGTTGAGTAACAAACCAGTTTCCCTTCCACATTATTGGAATTTTACTTATATCTCTGAACTCATTCTTGTTGTCATCTTCAATTTTATGCTTTTACTCTTCTTGCTGCATTGCCTAAAACATAATTCCCTAGAGAAATGGATACAATTGTACCAGCAAATTAATAACACTATTTTTGCTTCATCAAAAAGCTTTAGGAATGCTAATGTCAAAATGTCTAAGTAGTTTATTCTGCATCAGCTTTATCTAAAGATCATACTGATTTTGAGATACACTATGAAAAACATTATCTTATATAAGAATTTTTGAATTGAACATTGCTAATTAAAATTTCAACATCCAATTTTAACACTGATCTCAGAATGTGAAATATTTTTTAAACAATTACTATATGCCCAACATGTATTATGCATATGCACACAAAATGTAATCTTTTTTTTACCCTCCCAAAATGAAGGCCACCATCAAAGACTGTTCTATTTTTTTAATTAAACCTAGTGAAATAAACATTTCTTTTATTTGTACTTTTAAGATTTAAGTGTACTTTGACTTTACCACAAGGACATATATTTATATAATAATTCAGTTTTAAACATGCTTACTGATTGAAAACAATTTTTGAATCCAGTAATTGAATGAATTTGTATGCATAGGCTTATATTCACACTGGAGTTACTTCTGTAAAAAAAAGATTTTAAGGAGAAATAAAAAGCCTAAGTTACTAAAGGAAAAAATTGTTGATAAATCATTCCCCTTTAAAAAGACACTATATGATCTAAATCCATAGAAAACACCCAAAACAATCAAAACATTGGATGTAAATCACACTGTGCTTTTGGAAACAGGTTAATATTTAGTCCATGAACATGTTCAGAAATTGCCATCTTGTTATATTTGTTATGTTTATGGGAAATGCAATATCACAACATTTCCTGATGAATTTTATAAGTTGTTATCTAAATAAGTATGTTGAAATTTTCAAAATATAGTTTGTGAGGTTTTATTGTGGTGATAGCCAGGGTGGGTGACTGTTAGGTTTTATGTACCATAAAGACACTAGAGGATAATGCTACATAAGGCTGGCTATTTCAGTAACCAGTTTCTGACAGAATCTGAAGACATCTATGGTTTCCATCAAGGTGTCCTTAGTGAAAAATGCATGTGAAAAATAAATTTGAAAAAAAATTCTCTTTTACACATTATGCATGCAAGATAAATCCACATTGTTATCTACAGTCTAGATCCTTTATTTTCATTTATTGCAACATTTAATTTTATGAATTTATCATGATTTATTTTTCCTTTCTACTGTTAAAAGTCAGATGGATCTTTACATTATGTGCAATGCTATTGTGAATACTCTTTTACATGTATATTGGTATAAATGTGACTGAGCTTCTCTAGTGTACAATCTCAATATCCATGGGGTATTAGTTTCAGAGCCCCTGCAGATAAAATCTGCAGATGCTCAGGTCCCTTAGATAAAATGAAATGGTATTTGCATATAACTGATGCAAATCCCTCCATATAGTTTAAATTATCTCTAGATTACTTATACTACCTAATACAATGCAAATAGTCAATATACTGTAGTGGTTTTATTATTTTTAAACTTTTATTGCTTTCCTGTTAGTTTTTTCATATTTAAAAAATCAATGTTCCTTATTTCACTTTATCTGTAAAGTGAGCCCAAATTTCTCAGCCAAATTAAAACAAAATGTAATACCTTATATGTCATAAATTTCTGTTTAATTTAGATTTGGGCATACTCTTATTAAGAGCATTTCTAAATTATATTAAAAACAACTTTCTTTAAATTTTACAATTTTATTATAATTTAAAAGCTATCTCAGAATCCTTTGTGGATGAGGATCTAGAAAGCAGAGAAAGAAGTAAAATAAATAATGAATAAATATACAAGTAAATAGACTAGGTACATATTTGTAATTGATATTGGAAAAGGAAAATAGGACAAATAGAAAATTCTCTCACCTGCTTACCACTACACAGATTTTTCATAAAGGTCTCACTTCACATCATGGGTAAGATCTGACTCATAGGTTTGTATCTTTGCTTTGAGTAATTTTAGAAATTTTGAAACTTATATAGGACTAAATAAAATGTAATTGATAAGTTATAGGAGGTTTGTGTGGAGTCCTCCATATTTGATATTTTGTAAGACGGAGAAAGTAGCAGACGACATATTCTGGCAATTGCCTGTTCACCTAGAATCTTGGGAATTTATCTATATGTTCAGATTGTTAAACTCTATTTAAAATTATCAGTCTCCAGGCCAGAGAGAAAAAATTTCTCATATGATTCCCACTTCCTGGGATTAATGCCATTATATAATCCTCTCCTCTTGAGTGTGAGCAAGACCTATGGCTTGCTTAAGTGAAATGAATGTGCCAAAGGCAATGGGATTTAGATTACTTGTATGTGATACATAAAAGTATAGCAACAGTCCTACTGGGGTCCCTCTCTCTATCCCTTGCTAGCTTTGAAGAAGCACATTGCCATCAATCCTACAGCTATAAGAAAAGAAATTTTTCTTACTTATCCTGATTACATTACTTCTGAGTAGTAGGATTATTATAGTGCATCACTTAATTATTATTCAAGGATAAGTAGGCTCATATATTTCTCACACAAAGTTGGGAGACCAAAGGAGTCACTTTAATTAGACTTTATCAGGAAAATAGCACTCAGCAACTATATTGCATATTTTATGTTAGGAACTACCATTGTGTTGGATGTGAAAGGAATGCAGATTAAGTAAGAGTTCACTGGATTCCTATCTAAAATTTTCTGGGGGATGGTTGTAACGGTAATTACATACTCATTTTCAGCTGAGAAATTTGTTTCCATGTGCCGTAGTTAAAGAGGAGAACCTGATGTAATTCAGTAGGAAATATTAATATATTCTTACTAGCATGGGAGTTCTCATTGGAAGATGGCTAAGAAAAACAAAAAGCTTTCTATGGTTTGGCGATTAAGGTGTCATCTGCTTATGGAAAATAATTATTGACAAACTGTCAATCTGCAGCATGAAGGAAACTGTTTGAAACATCCCAATTGTTTTACATGGAGGCCTGGTGCTAACTAGTGGCACTGAGTTTTCTCCATTACAATTAGTTCCCTCCTCAAGACCCAGCTGAAATTTTCCATGACCTAAGTGGCTCATTCATTAATAAACACAAAAGTAGTTCTCTTGATGTGCTAAAAATTATCTGAGTATTTTATCTGTTTTCCATATTATACTAATCACACATTTATTTTGAAATCATTTATACATGTGCATGTAAGCATCTAAAATAATAAATGTAGTGTCTCTCCTAACAAAGATAGCATAATTTTCACATTTCAAATTCTCTGAGAATGTGTACAATTATACGTACACCAAAATGTATTAGGTCATTTGTTACTGTAAAACTATAGTTATTTTTATGCATTGAATAGGCATGGATTCTAACACTAATTAAAGCAAGTACTTGGTTTAGTGATCTGGCAATTTATATATTTTTTCACAAAACTGGTTTGAGGTGGAGTTTGGCTGACTTGTTTTTCTTCTTGTCAGACTTCTCAGTACTGCATCCCTTTTGATTTTTGCCCAGTCAGCTGCTAGTAATCATTCTGGGTACTCAGATAAGTCCAGGAATGAATTTCTTCCAAGTGAGCACTCTCTTGAGAAGTTGTTCTGAGAGATATTTGAAAATAAACCTGTGTTAGTAAGCTCAAAAACATCTGCCATATTTGTGTAATTTTCCATTTGTTATATTGTAAGACTAAATGGAAGCTGGGATATGTTTAACTCAACCAACCTCTTCAGAGGATATATTGCATCTGCGTCCTTCAAGCCAGATATTGATTAGGGTAGTCAATTTCTGTTGTTATTTCAAAATGACCTTTGATTTTAGGGACACCAACATAAATGCCAGTTATTGGCTGTGCTTTCATTTCTCTTTTTCTAGATTTGGGAATTAGCTGTAAATTAAAATTGTAAAGCAGCAACTCTGATTTGTAGTTCATCAAAGTTCATACAAGTTCCGCAAATGTAAATGCAGATGGCTTATGTATGAATATCAGTCCACGTGTTGTCTATATTGATCAGTCACTATTCAGAACTCCTCTGTTAAAGGGGAGGTTTAATGTATGAACATTTATTGCCTAGAGTGATATATCCTAACAACCAATTATTTATTTTAATGCAAATAATTACTGAAAAAATGCCCTTTGTTGGATATATTTTAAATTCTAGTGATTTAACAAATGACTCTTATTACATTTCAAATAATGGACCATCCATAATATTACTTGAGATGGCTCTAGACTGTGTACCACCACTGGGCATTTATTTTCTTTTTAAAAATTTCATCTAGGAATTATTCATCTGAAACATATCTAATACAAAATCACCTCTAGGTTAGCAAGCATCTGCATATCAATATTGTTATATTTCTCATACTTGCTTTTTCAGTTTGGATTTTACTGCCTTTATTTAAACAAACTTCATACTCTTAAATGCAACAAGAGGAAACAAAGAGAGAAAACAAACTTTTTTTTGTTTTGTTTTGATGGAGTTTTGCTCTTGTTGCCCAGGCTGGAGTGCAATGCCCAGGCTGGAGTGCAATTTCCACCCCCAGGTTCAAGAGATTCTCTTGCCTCAGCCTCCTGAGTAGCTGGGATTACAGGCATGCGCCAATAAGTCTGGCTAATTTTTGTATGTTTAGTAGAGACGGGGTTTTACCACATTAGACAGGCTGGTCTCGAACTCCTGACCTCAGGTGATCCATCCACTCCAGCCTCCCAAAGTGTTAGGATTACAGGAGTGAGCTACCGTGCCCGCGCCAAGAAAATAAACTTTCAAAACAGCTTCCTTTCGGGAATGGTTCAGATGGAGTGCTTAATTGCAATGGTTGAGGAAAGAGACATTGTTGTGAAAGTCTAATGAGAACTAAAAAGTACTAAAATGTTTGGTTGACCTTTGGGCAATTGTTGGCTTTCTCCTTTTCAGATAAGGGGAACCACAAACATGATCCCCACGCTTTTCTAAATCTCATAGGACAAGAGTGAAATATTACATTTGGTAACAGCATCTATATTATCTTTTGGATTTAAAATTATTTTTGCTTTTTTCCTTACCTTCATTGTGTATTTGATATTATTCATCTTTTCATGTAACATTCTTAAGCTTCTAAAATTATTTTTCTGAAAAATGTGAACTATAAAGTTTAATGAAAAATACATTGGTTCCAATGAAATAAAAAATTATAGAGTTCATTTATCTTTAATATACGTTGGTGGAGTAAATTTTCTAAAATGCGTATCTGGTCCTACCATCCCTTTAACATCTTAAAAAGTTGCTTTGAACATAAAAATCCAACTATTTCCTGTAGGTTATAGTACACATTGTCAATGTCCCTACTTGTTTCTCTATGTATGTCCCATATTGACCCACTTCTCACACCCCATGTTCTAGTCTTCCTAAACTTTTATTTGCAAAACATAATATTTTCATGAGCGTCCCTGTGAAGAGACCACCAAACAGGCTTTGTGTGAGCAATAAAAGCTTTTAATCACCTGGGTGCAGGCGGGCTGAGTCTGAAAAGAGAGTCCGGGAAGGGAGATAAGGGTGGGGCCGTTTTATAGGATTTGGGTAAATAAAGGAAAATTACAGTCGAAGGGGAGTTGTTCTCTGGCGGGCAGAGTGGGGGGTCACAAGGTGCTCAGTGGGGGAGCTTTTGAGACAGGATGAGCCAGGAGAAGGAATTTCACAAGACAATGTCATCAGTTAAGGCAAGAACAGGCCATTTTCACTTTTTTTGTGGTGGAATGTCATCAGTTAAGGTGGGGCAGGGCATATTCACTTCTTTTGTGGTTCTTCAGTTACTTCAGGCCATCTGGGCGTATATGTGCAAGTCACAGGGGATGCGATGGCTTGGCTTGGGCTCAGAGGCCTGACATTCCTGCCTCCTTATAGTAATAAGAAAAATAAAACAAAATAGTGTTGAAGTGTTGGGGCGGCGAAAATTTTTGGGGGGTATAGAGAGAGAGAATGGGCGATGTTTCTCAGGGCTGCTTCAAGCGGGATTAGGCGTGGCATGGGAACCTAGAGTCGGAGAGATTCAGCTGAAGGGAGATCTTGTGGTAAGGGGTGATATTGTGGGGTTGTTAGAAGAAACATTTGTCATATAGAATGATTGGTGATAGCCTGGATACGGTTTTGGATGAATTGAGAAACTAAATGGAAGATACAAGGTCCAAATAAAAGAAGGAGAAAAATAGGTATTAAAGGACTAAGAATTGGGAGGACCCAGGACATCCAATTAGAGAGTGCCCAAGGGGATTCAGCATAATTACTTGCTTGGTTGGCAAGTTTTTGGGTTCTATCCTTGAGTTTTTTTATGTTCTCATACACCAAGCCAGATTGATTTAGGTAAAAACAACACTCTTCATTTAACAATATACTGAGTCCAAGGCCTCGGCGGTTTTGGAGGACAACTGCAGCTAAAGAGTCAACTTGGGCCTGGAGGACTGATAAAGTTTGTGATATGTCTGTGATGCTAGCAGAGAAGTCATTAGACGGGCTACGGAAGGTCGTGACAGAGGTTGAAATGCCTGCTATTCCAGTACTGAGAGCAATAGTGGAGGCAGAAAGTCCTAAACCGACCATCAAGGGAATTAGTGGAATAACTCTTTTTTGTGGTGTCAGTGTCATAAGGGGAACAGGGAGCTCTTTGGTCCCATTTGCAAATTGAATTTTGGGGGTAAGGAATACTAGTGTGCATGTGCCTGTCCAATTAGCAGGTAGACACATGTAGGTAGAGGATCCACAGAGGAAGAAGAGACCTTGTGTGAGGCAAAACTGGAGATGTAAACTAAAAGGGTGAGAAGGAGTGCTGAAAGGGGTGTCTTGTACCCAGACTCCTAGGGATCCAGCTAGGGCGGCAGCTGTCAAAGGTTGTAATGGGGACTGATGGGCTAACTGCATAGAGGAGGAGGTTCGATTTTCATGGTGTATGAGAAAACGTTGAGTATCTACGAGCAACCTTTCACTGTTATTTTGGGGGCTGGGTGTAAGTAAACAAGAGGAGGGCCTGGGAGGAGAGTCTGACGAGCAAGGGGAAGGTAGCCAAGGATGGAGTGAAATATAGGGTAAGTGTCTTCCTAAGCAATAATTACTGCTAACATTTTTGAGTTTGTCAGTATTGATAGAGGGCTTGTCTATAATATGGAGCTGGAAGACTCCAATTGTTTCAGTGATGTGTGTAGTTGGGCTTTGGAGATGGAGAGTAAAGGAACATCGAGAAGGTGAAATATTACCTAGGGGAATTCCGGTGGGTCTTTGCCGAGAGATACATAAAGGAGCGGCCACAGGAATAGTAGTTTGTGTTGTGAGAGGTCCAAATATGGGGGGAGTAGAGTTAATATAAGGAGAAAGGTTTTTCAAATAAATGTGGAGGAGGGCGGCAGCTGGCTGATGTGAAATGTCTGGGGAGGTTTTGCTGGACCTGTCTAGAAAGTAAATGAGTTCTTCAGGAGGGTAAAGGTGAGGGCTGTTAAAGGAAGTTCGGAGGTGTAAGGAGACAGGAGATGTTGCCCGGTCTGTCTGTAAGGTGGGGACAGCTATGTAGGCACTGGAAGAAAGGGAAATGCAAAGCCAGCAGTTGTTTGCTAAGGAGGGATTAGAAGCAGCTGGGAGAGAATGGGTAAGGTTGATAGTGTGGTGGAGATAGCTGGGGAGAGGTAAAGGGTGGTATAAGAATGGGAATGAGAATAAGAGTGAGTATAAAAGTAAAGAATAGAACTTCATCAGGGTGGAAGTATTGGAGGGTGCCCTGCCAGCCAAGATCATCTACCCACTCTAAGAGGGAATTAAGAGTGGTGGTTTGGGGATAGCACCAAGAGATATCAGCTGTGATGGCATGAAGAAACAGTGTAAACCGGCAGTGTAAACAAGAGTAGGGCATTTATAAGTAGTTGAGAACGGAGAATAGGAGTATGACTAGACAGAAAATAGTAGGGATGACAAGTTATTTTGGGGCACAGTCTAAGTTGGTCTGGTGTCTGGAATGAGACTTGGGCCTAATAAAAAGGAGCATCTATATGGGAGCTCAAATGGGCTGTACCCTGTAGTATTCTGAGGACAGGTCTGACTTCTGAGAAGGGAAAGTGGTAAAAGTATTGTCCAGTCCTTTTTCAGTTGGTGGCTGAGCTTGGTAAGGTGTGTTTTTAAAAGATCTTTAGTCCGTTCTACTTTTCCTGAAGACGGAGGACCGTAAGGGATATAAAGGTTTCACTGAATACTAAGAGCCTGAAAAACTGCTTGGCTGATTTGACTAATAAAGGTTGGTCTGTTATCAGACTGTATAGATGTGGGAAGGCTAAACTGAGGAATTATGTCTGACAGAAGGGAAGAAATGACTGTGGTGGCCTTCTCAGACCCTGTAGGAAAGGCCTGTACCTATCCAGTGAAAGTGTCTACCTAGACTAAGGTGTTTTAGTTATCTGACTTGGGGCATGTTGAGTAAAGCTAATTTGCCAGTCCTGGGTGGGTGCAAATCCTTGAGCTTGATGTGTAGGGAAGGGAGGGGGCATGAATAATCCCTGAGGAGTAGTAGAATAGCAGATGGAACACTGCGAAGTTATTTCCTTGAGGATAGATTTCCACGATGGAAAGAAAATGAGAGGTTCTAAGAGGCGGGCTAGTGGCTTGTACTATAGCATAGCCTGCCTTTGCTGGTGTGTGGTGATTAGGCCTGGTGGAACGGCCATCAATAAATCAAGCGTGATCAGGGTGAGGAATGGGAAAGAAGGAAATATGGGGAAATGGGGTGAATGTCAGGTGGATCAGAGAGATGCAGTCATGGGGGTCAGGTGTGGTATCAGGAATAAAGTGGGAGGCCGGATTGAAGTCCGGGCCAGGAACAATGGCAACTGTGGGAGACTCAACAAAGAGTGAGTACAGCTGAAGGAGCCGGGGAGCAGAAAATATATGTGTCAGGTGTGAGGAAGAAAATAGATTTTGGAAGTTACGAGAACTGTAGAGAGTGAGTTGAGCATAGTTTGTGATTTTAAGGGCCTCTAAAAGTATTAGGGCGGCGGCGGCCGCTGCACACAGACTTGAGGGCTAGGCAAAACAGTAAGGTCAAGTTGTATGGATAAAAAGGCTACAGGGCGTGGTCCCGGTTCTTGTGTAAGAATTCCAACTGCACTAACCATGCCTAGGAAGGAAAGGAGTTGTTGTTTTGTAAGGGATTGAGGTTTGGGAGATTAATTGGACAGGATCAGCAGGGAGAGCACGTGTGTTTTTATGAGAATTATGCTGAGATAGGTAACAGATAAGGAAGAAATTTGGGCTTGATTGAAGTAATGGGGGCTGTCTGTGAAGCTTTGCGGCAGTACAGCCCAGGTAATTTGCTGAGCCTGATGGGTGTCAGGGTCAGTCCAAGTGAAAGCGAAGAGAGGCTGGGATGATGGGTGTGAAGGAATAGTAAAGAAAGCATGTTTGAGATCCACAACAGAATAATGGGTTGTGGAGGGAGGTATTGAGGATAGGAGAGTATATGGGTTTGGCACCATGGGGTGGATAGGCAAAACAATTTGGTTGATAAGGGATAGATCCAGAACTAACTTGTAAGGCTTGTCTGGTTTTAGGACAGGTAAAATGGGGGAATTGTAAGGAGAGTTTATAGGCTTTAAAAGGCCATGCTGTAGCAGGCAAGTGATAACAGGCTTTAATCTTTTCAAAGCATGCTGTGGGATGGGATATTGGCATTGAGCGGGATAAGGGTGATTAGGTTTTAATGAGATGGTAAGGGGTGCATGATCAGTCGCCAAGGAGGGAGTAGAGGTATCTTACACTTGTGGGTTAAGGTGGGGGAATACAAGAGGAGGACGCAAAGGAGGCTTTGGATTGGGAAGAAGGGCAGCAATGAGATGCAGCTGTAATCCAGGAATAGTCAGGGAAGCAGATAATTTAGTTAAAGTGTCTCGGCCTAATAAGGGAACTGGGCAGGTGGGGATAACTAAAAGGAGTGCTTAAAAGAGTATTGTCTAAGTTGGCACCAGAGTTGGGGAGTTTTAAGAGGTTTAGAAGCCTGGCTGTCAATAGCCACAACAGTTATGGAGGCAAGGGAAACAGGCCCTTGAAAATAAGTTAATGTGGAGTGGGTAGCCTCCGTATTGATTAAGAAGGGGAAGGACTTACCTTCCACTGTGAGAGTTACCTAAAGCTTGGCGTCTGTGATGGTCTACGGGGCTTCCGAGGTGATCAGGCAGAGTCAGTCTTCAGCCGCTAAGCCGAAAAGGAGTCAGTCACACAGCGTTGGGCCAGAGATCCAGGGGCTCTGGGAGTGGCTGCCAGGTGAGTTGAACAGTCCGATTTCCAGTGGGGTCCCGCACAGATGGGACACGGCTTAGGAGGAATCCTGGGCTGCAGGCATTCCTTGGCCTGGTGGTCAGATTTCTGGCACTTGTAGCAAGCTCCTGGGGGAGGAGGTTCTGGAGGAACGCCTGGCTGCTGTGGTTCAGGCGTTTGGAAGTTCTTGTGTGCTGGAGATGTGGCTGGGGTTTGTCTCACAGTGGAGGCAAGGAATTGCAACTTTTTTCTATTATTGTACACCTTGAAGGCGAGGTTAATTAAATCCTGTTGTGGGGTTTGAGAGCCAGAATTTAATTTTTGGAGTTTCATTTAATGTCGGGAGCAGATTGGGTAATAAAATGTATTTTGAGAATAAGACGGCCTTTTGACATTTTAGGGTCTAGGGCTGTAAAGTATCTCAGGGTTGCTGCCAAACAAGTCATGAACTGGGCTGGATTTTTATATTTGATGAAAAAGAGCCCAAACGCTACCTGATTTGGGATAAAGAAAAAGGAGCATTAACCTTGACTATGCCTTAACTCCAACCACCTTTTTAAGAGTAAATTGCTGGGCAGGTGGGGGAGGGCTAGTCATGGAACAAAACTGTAAGCCGGACTGGGTGTGAGGAGGGCAGGTGATAAAAGGATTATAGGGTGGAGGAGCAGAGGCTGAGGAAGAATTGGGACCTAGCTTGGCCTGGCGAGGAGCAGCCTGGGGAGGAGGGGAGAGGTCAGATGGGTCTGTAGAAAAGGAAGATTAGAAAGACTCAGCGACGCTTGGGGTTGGGACTGAGGGGACAGGTGGGAGGGAAAAATGGAAGATTTGGGATGAGTTGCATTCGGAACAGAGACTAGAGAGGGACCAATGTGTAAAAGAATGCCTGGACGTCAGGCACGTCAGATCATTTGCCCATTTTACGACAAGAATTATTTAGATCTTGTAGGATGGAAAAATTGAAAGTGCTGTTTTCCGGCTATTTGGAACTACTGTCAAGTTTGTATTGGGGTCAAGCGGCATTGCAGAAGAAAATAAGATGCTTAGATTTTAGGTCAGGTGAGGGTTGAAGAGGTTTTAAGTTCTTAAGAACACAGGCTAAGGGAGAAGAAGGAGGAATGGAAGGTGGAAGCTTGCCCATAGTGAAGGAGGCAAGCCCAGAGAAAAGAGTAGAGACACAGAGAAGGGGTTGGGGGGTTCTTGCCCTCCAGAAAAGCAGAGAAGAGGTCGGGGCACAGAGATACGAGGTCGGGGCATGGAAATAAGGGATCGGGGTGCAGAGATATAAGAGGTTGGGGTGCAGAAATAAGGGATCAGGGCGCAGAGATATAAGAGGTTGGGGTGTGGAAATAAGGGATCAGGGTACAGAGATAGGAGGTTGGGATACTTGACCCTCCCCCAGAAAAGTTGGACTTGCCACTCAGGGTGAAGGAGAAGGGGTTGGGGGTTTCTTGACCCCCAGAAAGGCAGAGAAGGGGTAGAGACACGGAGAGAAGGGGTTGGGGTACTTGCCCCTTTCCCAGAAAAGCGGGATTTGCCACTAAGGGTGAAGGACCAAGGCAGGCGTCCCTGTGTGGTCTGACACCTCTGAAACATGGGGGAATAATCAAAGCGGCATCCCTGCAATGATTAAACACCAAGGGAAGGCTGCCTTCCCTAGTCCGTGACCGGCGCCGGAGTTTTGGGTCCATGGATAAAACGTGTCTCCTTTGTCTCTACCAGAAAATGAAAGGAATTGAAATTAAGATAAGGGAGAGATTGAAGAGTGGCGCCAAGATTGAAAGGAGAAAGAGGTTGAGGGATAGTGAGGAAGGCTGGAGAAGAGAGTAAAAAGAGGCCGCTTACCCGATTTAAAATTGGTGAAATGTTCCTTGGGCTGGTGGGTCTGAGGACCTGAGGTCGTAGGTGGATCTTTTTCATGGAGCAAAGAACAGGAGGACAGGGGATTGATCTCCCAAGGGAGGTCCCCTGATCCGAGTCATGGCACCAAATTTCATGCGTGTCCATGTGAGGAGACCACCAAACAGGCTTTGTGTGAGCAATAAAAGCTTTTAATCACTTGGGTGCAGGTGGGCTGAGTCCGAAAAGAGAGTCAGGGAAGGGAGATAAGGGTGGGGCCGTTTTATAGGATTTGGGTAAATAAAGGAAAATTACAGTCGAAGGGGAGTTGTTCTCTGGCGGGCAGAGTGGGGGGGTCACAAGGTGCTCAGTGGGGGAGCTTTTGAGACAGGATGAGCCAGGAGAAGGAATTTCACAAGACAATGTCATCAGTTAAGGCAGGAACAGGCCATTTTCACTTTTTTTGTGGTGGAATGTCATCAGTTAAGGCGGGAACAGGCCATTTTCACTTTTTTTGTGGTGGAATGTCATTTAAGGCGGGGCAGGGCATATTCACTTCTTTTGTGGTTCTTCAGTTACTTCAGGCCATCTGGGCGTATATGTGCAAGACACAGGGGATGCAATGGCTTGGCTTGGGCTCAGGCCTGACAAATATTGTTTCCAAATTCTGTATAGGCTTCTTTCTTTACTTTTCCTCCTTTTCATTGTCTAAGTAATTTATTCAAGTCTTCTAAAATGCAATTCCAGTATTCTTTACTATAAAATACTCTTCAAGATCTTCCCATCTTTTTTAGCCCCACGCAATTCCATATCATGCATAACTTAAATCACCTTATTCAGTTTTCCCATAGCATGCTGTGCAGTTATGTTTCAAAACATTTACTGTATTTTAATTGTCAGTCATTTTGAATAAGTTTATAATTTTTTCCCTTTATTATTTTCTATAACCCTCGTGCATACAATAACACCTACAACATGACACAAAATTGGCCAAACAAGTGATTGTTGACTTAATGCTTTTAAGTTGATGGGTCTCTGTGGAGATTTGAAACTTCTGTACATGAATACTAATGAAGTTTGTGTAAATTGGCAAGAGATGGGGCAGATTCTATACATGATACAAACTGCTTCCATAATTCTCAAGTAAGAGCTTCCCCTATAAAAAGCCATGCTTAACAGTTTCAAAAGTAATCATAAAGTATTGGGGAAAAATAACAAATAAATACATAAAAGGTGACTAATCTCTTTTTGGCTCTGGATAATAGAATATTGGTTTGAATAGTGCTCATTCACAGCTTTTCTTCTATTCCAACATTTTAGTTCTCATCTGGAGGGGAAACTACCCTCTTTAAGGCTAACTATGATGCATAATTTCCAAAGCAATCTTTTCCTATGACTTAGCCATCAATAAGAATTTTATCAATTAACAAGCCTAAGTTTTCTGATTAATCTTTACTTTTTAATCACTACATATTTCTAGCATAGTGTAGATCTCACTTTTCCAAATATCTTCCACTTAATATCTTCTTTACAGTTGAACATCAACTCTAATGGCTGGCATTCTATACAAGATTCTTATATTTAACTAAAAAACTATAGTTAGATGAGAGATTTTATTCACATGTCCAAATCGAGATATTTTAAGAAAGTTGTAGATAATGTGAAATATGAATCTCAGTATGAAAAGTAATGGAATATAATTTCACACTATAAATGTTATACATAGGGAAAGCAAGAGCCAGTGAAGTGAAACCTGTATAATAATACAAAAATATGGGACTATAATATAATTGTTTTATTCTTTGCCCACTTTTCCCCTCAATATAGCTTGCTTTATGAACCTAAGAAATCACTTAAGCTGTGAGGTGGGTGGGAGATAAAAGTTGGTAACAAAAAACAATAATTATTTAGGAATTTTTACTAAGAAAGAAAGCCATAAATCTCATCAGACTTCACAGCCCTCTATATGACAATGGGATACTGGTAGAGGATATGCTAGCAGCTTTCATTTACAAAATTAAACCTGCATCTAAATGACATTTTATGACTCATTCTTCTCATTGAGTCAGCCACTGAAACTTAAAAACTGATCAAAGTGTTCACTCTCATGGGCCCATCCAAAGTCGCTATATACATTTCATTGATCACCTGGTTAAAAAACATTGGAATTCATTTCTAAAATTAATTGCTAGGCCACAAGTTTTTATACATTTTATGTGTCTGTGTGGCACAGTAATATTTTTCTCCCAATAAATACTGACACCAGCTCTCAAGTTGATCTACTGAAACTTAAATCTAACCTTGATATTGTTTTAAGACTATAGGGTAGGGTAGTGAACCAAAAGAAAGTGGACTTGAGATACATTCTTAGATTCAGAATATTGAAGTTATAGATGTTAATTTTAATCCGTTTTGTTTTGTTTTGTTTTGTTTTGTTTTGTTTTGTTTTATCTTCCACGAAGAAGTATAAAATAAAACCTGGCCAGACATTTGTTCACAGACTGTGACAGAAATAGATTTCCAAGAGAATAATTAAACAATGTACGGGTAAATATATTTCTTCACAAGGAAAAATGTCATTAATAGTAATAAGTGTCTTCTCTTATTTTAAAATTTTCATAAATATACTTAGATTAGTGAAAGAACATACTTTAAAAAATTATTCTTATATTCTGTTTTTATAAAAGGGAAGAAGAAAGAAAGGTTAGTGAGGTAGGCAGAATAATGACGTCCAAAGAAGTCTGTATCTTGATATCTGGAACCTGTGAATATATGACTTTACTTTGCAAAGGGGACTGGAAGATGTGATTAGGCCAAGGAACTTGAGATTATGAGATGGTGAGATTATCTTGGATTACCTACCCCAGTGTAATTGCAATGTCTCCCAAGGTTGTAAGAATAATGTAGAAGAGAGTCAGAGCTAGATGTCACTATAGAATAAAGACAAAGAGGGAGGTCATTTTGCTGGCTTTGATGATGGGGAAAGGACAACAAGCCAAAGAATGTCGATGGGCTCTAGAAATTGGAAAAGACATGGAAATGAATTCTCTTCTAGAGCCTCCAGAAGAAACTCAGCCCTGGTAAGACATTGTCTTTCGCTCAGTGAGAGCAATGTCAGACTTCTAGCTTCAGAACTGTAAGATCGGACATTTGTGTTATTTAAGCTGCTAAATTTGTGGTAATTTATAGCAACGGTGATACTATAGTCTAATTAAATACATTAAGTGTGTTAATTAAGACTCAAAATAACTTAAATATAAGCATTTATTTATTGATTGATTTCTGAAATTACTAAGACAGTAGTTGAGGGATATTAAAGCACAGCAGAGGGAAGAGGTCAGAAAAGGAGATGATAGCAAGAAACTCACTGAAAGCCCATTTAAGGAGCAGATCCCCTTCTAATCAACTCAACTTGTTGATTGCTTCTCTCATATCCTGGCAGAAAACTGTATCTAGAATCAGAAGCCTAAACAGTCTTGAGAATGAGGATACTGTTCTGAAAATAGGATAGAGATAGTCATTCTTGAACGCTCTTTTCCCTGTGAACTCTGGTGGCCAGGTACCGACCCTTCACAGACTGCAAGAGCAGATTGAAAGAGTCTTACCTGGGTACAGTTACTGACCTTAAATAACAAGCTGAAGGATACACTAAGCTCAGGCAAATAGCTGAACCACATCACACACCAGTGAAGATCAATTTGATTTACCCCATACATTTGAACAGAACTTCATTGATCATTGCAATTGCTCCATTTTTAAGTATGAGAAAAGACCTAACAATCATCAGATATATGAGAAAACAATCTAATAGGAAATATAGATCCCAAATCATACATATAAAAAGACATTAGAAATAGGTACAATGCAGAGAGAAAAAAACATTTAAAACACATTATCTTTAATAATTTGAGAGAGCTAAAATTATGCATTCATGAAACAACACAAGGACTCGTAAAAAAGGAAATGTTTATAGAACAGGAAAAAGTACTTGAAAATTAAAACTAGTATAGCAGAAATGAAAATCTGGAAGATAAATGACCTAAAGTGAAATAAATTGACAGAAATAAAAATCGTAAAGGATAAAGTCAAGAAAATCCCCAATAAAGTACAGAAAAAAATGCAAAAAGATAAAAGAGGAAATATGAAGGGGTTAGAGAATCAGTCCAAGAACTCCAACAGCCAAACAATAACAATTCCAGAAAGAAAGAATAGAGGAAAATGGAGAGGACCATGAGGATACAGATTGCAAAGGCCCAGCAAAAGGGATTAAGTGGGCCCCTACGAAGGTAGATCATTTGAAAATTTTAGAACACTGGGGAAGAATAGAATATCTTAAGAGCCTTATGGATAAAAATTACTTTCATATGAAAGATTATTATAATTCAGAATGGTATTAGATATCTCAATAGCAACACTGGAAACTAGAAAAAAAAAGAACAATGTCACTGAAATTCAGAAGAAAAAATAATTTGTACAAGAGACCAAACAATTAATTACAAGGGAAAGATTTATTTAAATATGTGCAAGGCCTCTAAGAGTTTATCACTATTTCTTTCTCAGAAACCCCTGGAAAATATGTTTTATCAAAACAAATTTTATCAAAACAAAACAAAGTAAACACAGAAAGAAGAAAACATGTTCCATGAAACAGGGTTTCTACACCAAGAACAAGGTGAATGGACTCTCCAGGATGATTACAAAGGAAGATCCCAAGACAACACCTGTATGGCGTCAAAAGATCTTTCCTTCATAGGAAACGTCTCAGAACGTCTTGGTGGAGGCTTCTTCAAGAAGATGAAACTTGTAGGGTATCTAATGAGTCTGACAAATTAACAGGAAATCATTTACATAATTGGGGAAGATTCTATGACTGTATTAGTGATACATACATAAATGAACAAAGAAGTCAGTTATCAATTATAGGAGGAAGAAGCTACAAAGGGTGAGAAAAATAATCAAAATACATGGGGCTCAGTTGTGATAGAACTTAATGAGGACATTGATAATTAAACTCTTAAAATATAGTGTTGAAAATCTAACTATACTAGAGTGGATGTTGAAGACGTATAGTGGATAGCAAGGGTTAAAATAGAACTAAATAATTTACCACAGTGGAAGACAAACAAATAATACCCCAAAATGGAAAACCAAGGGAAGCAATAAAAGAATGATTAGAAATTTGCATGTAAATAACAATAGAGTCATTTAAAAGGGTTGAAAGTCTTTGTCTCTGGGGAGAGAGTGAGGAGAGAGTAGGTAGAGAGTGGGGGCTGTTTTTATTGTAACAAGCCTTGTAAAAACTTCATGACTCTTTATGTGTATGTGTGACTTTCTACTCTATATATATATATATATACACACACACAGATATATGCACATGTATATATGAAAGCGTGTGTGTGTGTGTATATATTTATGTATATATATATAAGACATGTGAAACAATGTCTTTAAAATTCAGGAGTTTCTTCCATGTATGTGAGTGTGTGTGTGTGTGTCTGTGTGCAAATTCAGGAGAATTAGACATGGAGATAGGTTCTAATTTGGGGACTGAGATTTTAACACCTATAATGGGAAAGGTGCAACTTCGATACCTGTTAAACAGGAAACTGGAACTGAAGACCCTGAATAAGTCTAGGGCTGTGTAAAACCTTATCAGGAACCAAACTTTCCACCTAAGGCCCAGTGACAAGGAAGCTTGTCTGTGCACGGGGCTATGGAGAGAGCAGAAGGTATTCTGGGAGAAGCTGAAACCTCAAACCTAAGCATCATGCAATTATGGATATCTTATCCAGGATATCCCATGTGAAGAAATTTTTGTTACCTGAAAAATGAAATCATAGTGAAACTGAAGAATATGAAAATATTTTCCTTCCTGAAAACACGTCAATTAGACATATAATATACTTTTAATCAACAAGAATGTCCAGAAAAAAAATGTAAAAAAAGAAAAAAACATTTAAGATGATCACAGATGTTTGCCTAAATAACTGTTAAAATACATACTTAATTAAGAAAAAAAAGAAAGGATGAATGAGTAGGATGCAAGAAGCTATGGTGAATGAAGAAATCAGGAAATATATAGCCAATTATACAGATGCATTGACTTAAAAATAACAGTTTTTTGTTAGAACATTAAAAACACGTGTAATACTATGCAAAAATAGCAGAGAAAACAGGGGAAGATGTGGCTGAATTTAATACGCTGTAAGATCCTTCTTTTGTTTGAAAGGAAGGTGGAGATGTTAATTAGCTTTGGTTTCATTAGTTGCTGTACTCAAGCTTAAATTTTGAAGGTTACTACAATAATAGACATGGAAATTTTTTTTAAAAAAGGCAAAGAAAGAAAACACAAAATCCAAGAGAAGAAAGAAAAAATAAAAACAAATTTATCAGTAGGTGTGTATCTATGAATATTTATATTTATATTAAATATATATTTATATAGCATGTTATATATAACATATTTTATAGAAACATATTTATATAACAAATACATTTTATATATAAATATCACATATTTATATACATTTGTATAGAAATATATTCAAGTAAAATATCAGATTGTTATAGTATGCATTACATATAAATTTATGCATATGCAGTATACATATACACACCAGCACAGGAAATATACACACTCATTTCTAGGTAGTGATGGCTTCCGATGAGGAAGAGAAATGGAATAGTGTAGGATTTGGAAGAGACAAAGTGGCTGTTTTAGGTTTCTTTCTTTTTCTTTTTATTCTTTCTCTTCTTTTGAGACAAGGTCTTACTCTGTCACCCAGGCTGGAGTGCAGTGTCGTAGATCATAACTCATTACAACCCCCAAACTCCTGGGCTCAAGGGATCCTCCCACCTCAGTCTCCCTAGTAGCTAAGATTATAGGCACATGCCACTATGCCCAGCTAATTTTTTTAAACTTATTTTTAGTAGAGATGAAGTGCCACTGTTGCCCAGGCTGGTCTTGAACCCCTGGGCTCAAGCAATCCTCCTGCCTTGGCCTCCCAAAGTGCTGAGACTACAGGTGGGCCACCATGCCCAGCCTGTTTTAGATTTCTATGACACTTTATTTATTTAATAAGTACATGAGGTAAATACAGCAAAATGTTACTGTATCATTTTTTAAAAAAACCTCTGGGTCTGAGGTACCTGGGTTTGAAGAAACTTTCTGCTTATTTGCAGTATTTTTTCAAGTATCCACTGGACTCTTGATTTTTTAGCTTGTCTTTTTCATTTTTACCTCTTTGCCACTTAGGTATTTCTTTGTGCAACACTTCAAGTGTCTACTTTCCTCCACATTTTCTTCATTTTTATTTGTCCTTGCTTCCTACCTACTTTTTTTTTCCTCCTCTAACCAACACACAATTGTGACCACAGCTACTCCTTACACGACTCTCATTTTCCATCCACCATTTCTCCAAATGACAGCTAGGAAAAATGCAAACTCCATTGCACAAGACATTCTGTTAGGTTAGAAGCCATTGCACACAGTCATTGAATATTTATGTTCATGCATCCAAATTTTCTGGAATATGCAGTTGTTTTTAAAAGGGATTCTCTTTATTCTTTATACTTCCAGGGAGCAGAGACTATACCCCATGTTTGTGGATTTAATTAAAAACCCGCTAAACAGCCTCTCTGAGAATAAGTTTCTTTAAGTGTAAAATAGGGATGATCTTTACCATGCAGAGTTGTTTCTAATATATAAATAATGTGTGCAAGTCACCATGTACATGATTGACACATTCAGAGCTGGGAGAGGATAAATAGAAGCATGGATTTGATTCTTAGTAAACAAGGAGAATATAGTAGGTCCTACAGTATTTGTGCTCTATAGCATCTATTGGTCAGAAAAAGCCCAGATATTCTGAAACAGCTATAATTTCAAAAAATCTTTACAAGTAGATTTAAAAATCCCAAAGAAATCACAGTGAAACTGGAGAATATCTAAGTTAAAGAGAATATGCAAACATCTTCCTCTCTGAAAACACAGCATTCAGACATATAATAGACCTTTAAGCAACAAGAAAGTCCAGAAGAAAATTGTAAACAACAACAACAACAACAAAATATATTTTGAGGAACAACCCTAACAATTCTATTAAATGATAAAAGACCATCTGTATGGAAATCTACTAGGTCAGAAGCTGTAGCGACTTAGCTTTTCTAAATTAATTCTCTGAGGTGCCTGGGAGTTGGGCACATTACACATCACAAAACTCATCTGATCCAAGATTAAGAACACATTTTTCTGTGAAACACAGGTGAAGCAACTGAATGCTTTATTAAAAGATGATTAGATACTTAAACAAAATTAGAAAAACTATGCGTTTGTCTGCTTTACTTACTGTAGCTTTTAAAACACTGGTTCAGCAAGGGGTAGGATAACCATGAAGCTTCCTCCAAGAAACGCAGGTCCTGAGTATCTGCATTATTAAGCTGACGTTTGGTATTGCTGAAGCATCTTACCAATAAGCAGCCAAAATAAAAGGAATTATCAAGGAATGACTTGTGATGAATTTAATGATTGCCCTTCAGGAATTAAGAGTCTTATGATAAACAAACTGAGTCAAGAAATGTGAATAATTAAGTGGTGAAGAGTGCAAAAAGGATGAGAACACTAAAAATTAAACCCAATCATGTTTCAAAAGTTTAATACCGTTTTTTATAAAATTGAACTTGCAGTATTGAATACATGAGTTTATATTTTTGAAACTAAATGACCTTTTACACTTAAATAATTATAGATTTCATGCCAGAAAATGGAATTAGGTTGATGCTAATTTAAATATGTACAATGTAATTCAAACATAAATTCTGAAGAATGTAAGAACTAATAGAATGTAAGCCAGCTTTCCCATGATGACCCCAGTCTTCCTCCAGTAGAAATACTGTATTATGAGCCATTTTGTCCTGACAAAAAGGCTCTTTTCATAATATTTTAAGCCATATATAGATAAATTTAAAACAGCATAAGAATCTTTCAGAAATAATTAATGGTAAAATATCCTTATTTTTCATTTTGTATATATTTACAAAAGGGTATTTACATATTTCTGAAAAGAATAAATGTTTAAACTGAAGATAAGCATTACCAAAATAATTGTGTTTCTTTTATTTACACCATTTTGATAAATAGAATGAAATATCTTACTATAACAGGACCTATATCATGAAAATGCTATAAAAAAGTTCTAGTTTCCACTTGTTATGATAGTTCAATGATCACATTAGGTTTTCCTTTCCAATAGCCATGACATTGGTGGGCTGAAAATGATCTTGGCTTAAATTGACTTTTACTGTCTTTAATGTGAGCTCTTACAACTTCCAGAAATGGAAATAGCAGAGGTTAGGTTTTTATTCATTCAATAAAATGCATAACTTTTCATTACTGAGAGACATGTCACGAACATATTGAACAAATGTTACATGAAACAACTTTGGTAAGAAGTACTTCAGGCTGAAATATACGAAGCTGAGATGATTTTGCTTAGAATGATGTGTCAAAAAATCAGCAAAAGGAGAAGAAAAGCAATTCTTTATTTTTATCCAAATATATCAGACTTCATAATTTAGTTTCAACAAAAACTTCACCATATATCATCCAAACCAAGACATTGTAAGAGTGAAAGGGAGTGCTACCAATAATTACACAGGTACAACAGGTATAAACTGGAATTTTCCTGGGTAAACTGGGACCTATGATCAACCTAGAAATAAGGGTTAAACTGCAATTACATGCAGAAATCATACCTTTCCCACGCATGTGTGGAAAAGATAAAAAAAATACCATTCACTCAGATAAGGTAATTTTGACAACAGTAGCACTTTCTCATGAGATAGATTTCTGTTCACATATTATCCCCGTCCTAAGCCAGTCACATTTTCTAAAATAATCAATTTTTATTCCACACAGTTACTTTGCATTATGTTACCCTGTTTTTATTCTTTTTTTTTTTTTTTTTTTTTTTTTTTTTTTTTTTTTTTTTGATGTTGAGATGGAGTCTCGCACTGTCACCCAGGCTGGAGTGCAGTGGCAGAATCTTGGCTCACTGCAACCTCCGCCTCCCAGGTTCAAACGATTCTCCTGCCTCAGCTTCCCCAGTAGCTGGGATTACAGGTGCCTGCCACCATGCCCAGTTAATTTTTGTATTTTTAGTAGAGACGGGTTTTCACCATGTTGTCCAGGCTGGTCTCGATCTCCTGACCTCAGGTGATCCCCCAACCTCCGCCTCCCAAAGTACTGGGATTACAGGCGTGAGCCACTGAGTCAGGCCTGTTTTCATTCTCTTAACTGATACTTTGATTGTCTGAAGTGGTCTTATTTGTTTTTTGTCTCCTCCCCACTCTCCTTCTGGTATACAGTGTTCATGGTGAGCAATGGCCTTCTCTGACTTAGCCATGTCCAAATCCCCAGGAACTAAAAATGCCTACGACATAGAAGGCATGCAAAAATTTTGTTGAATGTGTGAATATACTTGGAGAGTTTGTTTTTGGTTCCGTCTTCTCCTTGGTACCAAAGACAAATTAAAATGACTCTCCAAAGTAAATTATGGCTCTATTTAGTTTTAAGTTCTTGGACTAAATGATCTATGCACTTTTTTTCCACTGCTGATAAATATACCATGCCCTGTGGACCCCCTTCTCTCTCTGTCACTATTTTGTTTCCTACATCTACAAACTAAGAAAGCTAGGTTATCAATGGGTATAGGGCAATTTGCTCCATTCACAGTGGATGCACACTCCAGATTGATCATTTTGCCAGTAAGAATTCCCTGGTATATGTTTGCACCTACAGAATTTGGTTGATACAGAGGTAGCCAGAAGGTATTATTATAGTCAATGATTTAAGTGTTGATGTATTAATTTGCCAATAATAAAATTATCACAAAATTGTTAAAAAACAGGAAATAATGAGAGCCCAAACTAGCAATTAATGACTGACATATTAATAAGAATTTTTTTTAAAGTTGGGGCAGACTGGAATTACAATACTTAAAGAAGTTTTATAGGAAAACCCATGATATTCTGTTAAGGAGCACTTTTAAATTTTCATAAAAGTCTGCATTCCAAATTTTTATTTTGAAAGTGTTCTACTGATCACTAGTTTTGATTCCTGCTAATGAGTCATAAATATCAGACTTCAGGATTAGAAAAAACAGTACTGTTAAAATTATTTGGGTAGACTAGGGATCTAAGACACCAATAAAATCAGTGTTCACCAAAAAACTGTGTGTAAGATATCTTCAATTTATCATCTAATTTTAATTTCTCTCTGGTCTGTGCAAAAACTTCCTCCTGAACTATAAGTGACAGGCATGGGATAGGTTTCCTAGGTGAGGAAAAAGTCTATCCTGTTACAACAAATGCCATAAACAAGAAAACAGAATAAAAAAGAGACTCAATTAGACATACATATTTTAAGCATAAATATTTATCATCTGTTTCATTGCATTGTCATGTCTTCTTAAAATGATTGGTTTTTAAAATGGACAAAATTTCCAGAAAAAGAAAGAAAATGTTTCCAATTTACTCAGTTTGAAACAGGGACAATTAATTGTGTAACTTCACACAGATTCTGATATATTCAATATAACTTGGCTACTGTCTATTAACATGATTCAGTGTTTGTTCAGAGCTCATCTTTGTATTAGATCATATACAAAACAGATTTCCAGATTTTAATTAGTCTAGGAAAGGAATAATTCTCAAATTAATCAACAATTATTTCTCCCCAGTACTAGCAACTTTTAAAAATCATAAGAAATGTTCAATGCTATACTGAGTACTGGTATGCTCTAAAATTTACAATTTAAACATGTAATGGTTATATTTTTGCAGGGCCATAGATAGCACAAACTTGTGTGATTCTCTCATATAAAATACAATTGAAAGCCTCCCAAGACCTTAAACAGCAGAAAACATTAAATCAGATTTTAAAATGACAAAAATTTAAGGCTAAAATATTTGGTATTAATAATTAATGCCAGTAGCCTTCCTACTCTAATAAAGTAAACATGCACAAGAACTACAACTTTGAACAAAACATCACAATTTTATCAGATATATATGTATGTATGTATGTATGTGTATGTATGTGTATATATATATGTATATGTGTGTATACATACACACACACACACAGACATATATTTAGTTTTATCGCCCTGAAAGCTATTCACTCATGTTTGGCTTAATACATATGTTAGAAATGTCAGGGAGAGTATCTCCCCTTTAAATATATATATATATTTTTTTTCCAGAATATACAATATAAATATGCCATATATAAATCATGCCATAAAACTAAATGCAAAATTTGCACATTATTGCATGCTTGATGTGATAATACATGCCCGTTAATAACTTCCTTATGATGTCCTCCCTCCGTAACTGTTGCTTTCTGCACATTCGCAATACTTGGGAAAGGAAGGGTTCTCAAATATGCTTGTAGAACTGGGAGGAAAATATACTTTCAGATTCCTTAGGGAGAATTACCTCATCGCCAAATATTGGACTATTACTAAATCAAACATTAAATAATGCCTAAGGGAGTGCTTTGTTATGTGAAGCGATCAGAGTTCATTTTTCTTAATTTGGCTGGAAGGTTCCCTTCCATCCTAGCTGCTCCTCCAGCCATCTTTTGAAGCTTTGGTGGCAAATCAGCCACAGACTGGCTCATGGGATCAGATAACATCTTGGTGGTTTTAGATACCAGTTTTTCTTCTGAGTTGCCCGGAACTGAACTTATTCGTTGAAGTTTCATGGGCAAGTCTCCCAAGCTGTAGGCTTTTTCTGAAGTTGTAGAACTCATCCTCAAGAGTTTTTTGGGAAAGTCTTCTCTTCCAGTAATTTTCTGCAGCTTAGATGGTAGTTTTGTAGTAATATCATCTAGTCCATCTAAGCATTCCACAGAATTATGTCTTTCTTTGCTGTTAGTTATGGCTGGTGCTATTAAAGGGGACGACATGAGAAGCATTTCCTCCTGCTCTTTCACACTGTAAGGTGGGGTGGGGACTTCAAATGTTGCATGGAACTGGGAGTAATCAACTTTAAAGAATCCCTCTTCTAAGGAAATTACAGGAAAAAAACGATGACCCCAAAGAACTTCATCTTCAGTATATGATGTTCGAGCTTGACAAGTCATCCCTACAAGAAAAGAGAAAATTCTTGATAAATTATGCATAGTGGAAGCACATGTAAAGCCGGTTTGGCCTAAATAATTCATTTCACTTTCTTATCTAGGTTTTGGACTGTTTATCTGAAGCCCGAATAATAGAATAGATTAAAAGTTGTACTCTAAGTTAATAGCTTTGATACATATACTTTCTTTCAACAAAAAACACAGGGTGATGATACTATTCATGTTTGAAGGATAATGCATCATTACCTAAATATTAACCACAAACCAAAAGCAAAAGTAGCATAGAATAATCTCAGAACATACATGTCCCTATAAGGAGATAAGTGGAAAAATTATGTAACAATTTTTCATTGTTTAAGAAACAGTGTCATAAATAAAACAAATCTGATTTTGAATCTAAACTTTAATATTGTGTAAACTTAGAAAATATATTTAACTGAGTATCACTTTATTCTTCTGCAGAGTAAAGCACTGTCAACAATACCTGTCTCACAACACTGCTGTGACCATGAAATAACATATACAGAAATGTAAAATTTGTCATATAATATCTACAATAAGTGACTCAATTAATGGACGCTTACCTTTTTGTCTTTACGTAGCAAAGGATTGCTATGGGGGGTGGGAGGACAAAAGGTAACTCTCCCAAGTATTTGTTAAACGAATAAAAGGTGGTAATATTTATATGCTAGAAAAAGAAAAGTCATTGTGCTGGTTCTATTCTTTTGCATCTATAAGGCCAGAATAAGCTTTTGCTCAAGTTTCAGAAATCCATATGCTAAAATCAGTGTTCTGGGCCATGTGATGTATCAAGTTCCATTCCTGCTCTAGGAATATCTGGAACTGGTTGCTGGCTATCAGATGTAAATTTTTTCAGTTTATCAATTATGTTCCTTGGATATCATTTGCCTCATGGTATTCTAATTTACTCAATTTTGTTCTCTTCATAAATCATTTATTTCGATTGTGTTACAATCAAATCAGTCAACTTGTGAATATTCATTTTGTGAAGACTGGAAGTACAGGAATAAATTAAAACCATATATCAAGTTTCTGTCTCATATTAGTCAAAAGACACAATTTTCTGTAAATAGTAAAATTCACCAATTTCTCTACTTTAATAGAAGTCTAATAGACTTCTATTAAAGGCTATTAAAATGTAAGATAATGATGAATTTTAAAAACCATCCCCTCAATAATTAAGTGTAATTTAAATAAGTGATGATAGTTTTTCTTCATTCATTTCAATTCTCCCCCATCCATTATAAGTAATTTCTATTGTTTTTAAGCCTGGCATAGTTTGAAGGAAGGGATATTCTGTCTTTTTTCTAACTGACTAGCAATCAGACATACAATACATATAGATAATTAGGATATAATGCATAAATAAGAAGCCACATTTGAATCCTTCCAAAATCTTGCCTTATGAATATTCTGTTATATATTACCAAAGAATTAGTTGTTATCACTATATACTATGTTTTTTCAAGACAGTTTTAAAATAAACTCATGTAGAAAATTAGTATCTATCATGTGGCTAGCACTGTGTTAGGTGCTCTCTCTCTTCTTCCCTCTTTTTTTTTTTTTCCATTCTAATCCTCAATATGGTCCTGTTGAGAAGATATTCTTGCATCTATTTTAAAGATAAGGAATTTAGTGCTCAGAGAGGTTAAGTCTCTTGACCTTTCTTGAGCACAGATCTAATAAGCTGTAGAGAAAAAAAGTATCATCCTATTTCTATGCGTGGGTTTTTTTTTAAATTGTTGTTATTTTACTTTGCCGTAATGTCTCTAATATTTTAGTTATGAACTCAGTTATCACTTAAACTCTGTAATGGTGCAAATCTGACTATGATCAGATATCCGTGTTTATAATCAATTTTACGTGAGGAATAGCCCCAGAAACATTTATATATAAGATAATAAATTAGTTTTAAAACATTAAGTGTAAACACACACATAGCAGCATTCTGTATTTTCTAATAACTTTCTAGCCTCTAAGTATTTCATAAGAAAAATCATAGATTATCACTTAATCAGGAAAAATAAAAAATGTATTTCCTGATATATTTACTTGGTTTTATTTTGAGAAATTTAAAGATAAAGAAAAGTATCTAGAATAAAGAATAAATATCTGATGTCATTGTTAAGATAAGAAATAGTAAAACAAATAATGTGGAAGTGCCTTATATTTTCTCCCTAAAAGCAGCCACTGTCATTCTAAGTGTCTTTCCCATCCAAGACATTAATTTAAATTTAAGAAAAAATACTATAAATATATTTTTACTAAGTGATAATACTGCCTTACAATCTATCTTTTTTATTTTTATGTTTTTCGAGATGAGATCTCACTCTGTCGCCCAGGCTGCGGTGCAGTGGCACCATCTCAGTTCATTGCAGCCTCAGCCTCCCTGGGATCAGGTGATCCTCCCACCTCAGCCTCCCAAGTGAGCTGTATTTCTTTGTAGAGACAGGGTTTTGTCATGTTACTCAGACTCATCTTGAACCCAGCCACTTTTTTAATTTTAAAAACTTCAATCATTGAAAATTGATGTCAGGCAGAATTATCCTAAGTAATGTTACGTACTCAATATAATTCAGTGTCTTAAAAAGTAAGGAAAGTTTGTAAGTTTGTCCTTTGATTAATATAAATAAATATTTACAATGAGTTAAAGTAAATTCAGGTTATGAAGTCTGTTCAATTATTTCTAACAATCACAAAGTAAATTTTGAAGTAAAATTTGATGATATCACCATCTTAGCCCATTTCATTTTGGTGGCTTTTTTTTATTTTCACATTGCGAAAATAACATTACATAAAAAATCAAAATTTTGCCCCTGCTTTTACCATTACAATTGGGAAAATAAAATCTTATAAAATTTTAATATTGGGAAAACTGGCCATCAATTATTAAGGTACTTAAAGTGCTATGACATCTACAGTGGAAACGTGTATTCAAATGTTTGTTGGCATTAAAATACTTGTAATCATTGTTACTGAAATGCCAATGCATGATTTCAACTGAAAAGGAAGGTGGAGAATCTATTTTACTAGATAAAATTAACTTTACTTATTTTCACAGCAAATTCACATAAGTGAGGCAACATCTGAAATATAATTTAAAAGTTTATGAATCTGGCTGTCAATGCCACTATTAAATAGCTTGTGAAAATTACCTAAAGCTCTCTCACCCTGTTTTCTCCTTTATCAACTAGAGATAACAACATATCTTCTCTTAGAAACCTACTGAAAGTTTGAAAGTAAAAGACATAGAACCTTGCTTGGTGTTTAGGTAATGCCTGTTAATGACTAGTGATTTATTGTTCTATAATAGTCACTTACATTTCCTGTTCTTCCTGAAAATTAGTAAGGTGCCTTAATATGTGTGATGAATTTTTACATCTTTGTAATTTATCCCATATTAGTAATATAGAATATTAAGAATTAAGTTTAAAAGTCACTGGCTATGAGATAACAATTTTTTTTTTTTCAGATGGGCTCTTGTTCTGCCACTCAGGCTGGAGTGCAGTGGTGGGATCATAGCTCACTGCAGCCTCAAACCCCTGGGCTCAAGCAATCTTCTTGCCTGTTACTCCCAAGTAGCTGGTATGACAGGTACGAGCCACCAAGTCTGGCTAATTTTCAATTTTTTGTAGAGATGGGGTCTCACAAAAGGCTGCTCTCAAATTCCTAGCCTCAAGTAATCCTCCCACCTCAGCCTCCCAAAGTGCTGGAATTACAAGTATAAGTCATTATGCCCAGCCAGTAATTTGTTTTTAAAATTGTCAGACAATTAAACATTCAAAATATTTAAAAGTATAGAAAAAAGTTACATTACTGATATTTCCAACTTTTAGGGTTTCTCAACATTTTCCACTTAACTACCCCTAATAGCAGAAGAGACTAAGTATGGATATATGGGGTGTATTAAAAGGCTTGCAGCAAGCAGAATGGCTAAAATCAATGTTAACACTATGTTAATCATGCCAAGAACATTTGCCAGCACCTTAACCTTTGTTTGTTTTTCTACTGTTCCTGTCCTACTTTCATTAGATGTAGGTACCCAAATAGCAGACATTTCCAATTCACAATCATAGTTTTAAAATCTGGTTTCATCTCAGGATATTATGAATTTGCAATCAATATATGGATAAAGATATGGAAGATTTATAAATTGGATAACAGAAAAATGTCTATGTTTGCCAATCTGCATCTTAGACAATGAACTAAGATAAGATATAATTGAGAGAGTACTTCTTTTTGCAAAAGTTATCCCAAAATGGTGATGAAAAAATAAAATGCAAATTTCAACTGAGAAGATTTAAAGTAGATATCATTATGGTTTCTAAGAACATGCATGTACCATATCATTCTTCCTTCTAGAATTAGAATGCTTTATATTTCTTATTCTAATTAGTTATTTTAAAATAATCCATGCTTAGATTCATAATTGCAAATGCCATTTGAATTAAAATAAATGCAAGTGACTACTATTATTCAAAGGGTACTATGAGATTGCACCTCTTAGCCAGCAACACAACTGTTTGCATGTTTTAACCAGATTCCAGACTTGAACAAATGTGGTGAAAATCAACACGAGCTCATCTCTGTGGAAACTGGCAAAGCAACAGATGCTGCTACTGGAAATAGCTGGGACTTTTGAATCCTTAGATAAAAAACATTTTGTAAAAAAAAAAAAAAAAAAAAAAAAAAAAAAAAAAAAGATTTATTCTGTACATTGCATTGCAATATTCACAGATTTAAAAGGGTATATATTATTGTTTAGTGTAATTTATTCCAGTATCAGTATGTCCATTTAAAATGGTAGAAGCAACATAGTCTAACCTTTTTATTTTTGACATTTTCCTTTCCTGATTCTGCCTCTAAACTGAACTAAGTCCATCCTTTTAACTGAATTAAACATTCATTCAAAGAACAGATCTGTGGAAGGTTTTAAAGTGAAAATGACAAAGTGAGTTGTTATTTGACAAGTCCTTAATTAAACTTTCAGGATATCTCTAACTCAGTTATTTTCCATTGTTTCTGCTAGCCGGGGATGGTGGATGTGTCACTCACACAAAGGGGGCACAATATGGTTAAAAACAATATAACCACAGGCCAAGGGAAATGTCTGAATGCTGTGACACAGAAAATATCACACAATCAATAACTTCTGAACATGGACGCTTTATCTAAACCTTACCCAATATAGATGTGTTTGCGGGAGATTGGGGGAGAGAAGAAAGGGAAGGAGGAAAGATAGAGGGATAGAGAGAATCAGACCCAGACAGAGAAAAAAGAGACAGGAGAGAGAGCAAAAGAGCGTTCTCCTGTAATGGTAGCTGTGGCTGTGTTTTATCACACGTACATCAAACAAAAGCAAAAACACAAAACAAAACAAAACAAAACAAAAAACAGAAGAGCAAATCCCTTTCAGTTAAGTCATGTAGTAATAATATCTCTATAGGATTATATGTCAAGTATCTCTCTAAGCACTATTTACAAGTTGTCTTTAATCCTCACAACTCTTCGAGGAAGAGACTGTTATCCCCCTTCCTATTTTCTAGAGGTGGAAACTGAGTCACAGAGGGATACAAGATAGTAGCATCACATAGAGGTGATGCAGCTGGAAATTGAACATAAGAAATCAGGCTTGAGGATTCATGCTGTTAATCTCATCTCTCTATCAAGTAGTACTGTGTAGGCAAAAGAAGAAACAAAAGAGAGTTTATCACTAGTAGTATAATTAGTGAATATTCAAATTAAAGTGTCAACTTTTGGTTACAAAAGCATCAAGTCTGTGATTCTGTGGTCAAGGGGACCAGATTTGCCACAATAAAAATCAAAGCAAGTGATGAAAGAAATGAACCTTTCTTCAGGGATGAACACCAGAGGCACTCTGCACAACTCCCTGCAGTAAGTACTGTGGTGTCAGACGACCCTGGGGCCGCATCCCAGCTCTACCACCTATGCTGTTTACCTTTGGAATGGTGCTTTGCCTCTCTGAACCTCCGTTTTTCTAATCTTGAAAATTATATTAAGAATAGTACTTATATTCTAGGATAATTGGAATAATTTTATGAGATATTGTATGCAATGTGTTTAGCAATGTCTTAATAAATATTAGTGATATTTATTGTAGCTGCTATTACATGTGGAAAAAGTATGGGAAACCAATTGATGAGTGAACTTTTAAGAATTAAAATAATGAATGAATCATCTTCCTACTGGACGGGAAAAAGAAATATTTGCTAATGTGACTGTTGGTTAAAATTGCTAATTATAAACATAAAAATAATAGTGGTGATATTAATTACATATTGAGTAATAATGTGCCAAATAGTGTGCTATATAGGTTTTATATATTTTATCTCATTATCTCATCACAGCAAAACTGTAAATAAGATTTTATTATTTTCATACTTCCAGGAGAATGATAGAGCTTGAAACTTCAAGTAACAGAGAATAAACAGCAAAGCTAAGTCCAGAACTCATACTGATTCCCAAACCTAAGCTCTTAACAAATAACTTTACTATCTAATGACTTCCTTAGTGAAGCATATTACACCAAAACATAGAATTAAAAATTAATATTATTTGTACAAATATATATAGGTGGTATATGTATATGTGTATATATATTTGAGTTGTTATTAAGTAAATTGTACACTGTTCATTTCTAGTGTGGCATCCAGATTTCTAACTACTTTCCTGAATAACAAAGCCTTTTGGTATCACTATAAGGATCTGAAGTGAAGAGATTCTATAGGACAATGCTAGCTGATATTCTGGTGTCCACAGTAAGTAAGTCATATCAGCCCTAGAGGCCAGTTGCAGAGAGGGTAAAGCATCGGTTTTAATGCCAGATGCACCTAACATCAAACACTGAATCCCAGCTCCACCAGTAATTAATATGTGACCTTACAAAAACTAATACATCTCTTTAAGCTTTAGTTTCATTATCTGTACATTAAGGCCCACCCTGCTGATTTTAAAAGAAGATTGTGAGAATTAAATGAAATTAAGTGACATATGTAAACTACATGCACAATAAATATTGATAATTTTCTCTCAGAAGAATCCTTAATAACAGGCTATATGACTACAACTTTCATTTACACAGGCACATACACAGAAGAAAAAATCCTGAAAATTTAACCAAATAACATGTTAGTTTTTTCCATAAATCTATTCTATTATTTACTTCAAATTGGCAGTTGTTTTAATAACTGAATCAGCTAACAGCTTAGCATGCAAAGCATGTTGTATATCACCAAGTAACTTCCTAGTCCACCCTACATATTGCCCTGAGGATTATTAAATGAGGACTATAGCTGTTTCTTCTCTAAGGTACTTCCAAAATTTCACCCATCTTCCAAGATATATTAACTGTAACACTAACTTGGCATTCTCTGCATGCTCTCTATTGTGTTGCACTGAGCTGAACCCAAATGTAAAGTATAAACTTTCTGAAGAAGCTTATGATTTTTTTTAATCTTTTTTATAAAACACAAAGACACTGCATACATTACAGTTCAATAATACTAAGGTTACTGGCAATAGGCTCTTTTGAGATACAGGTTGCAAAGCCATTAAGAATACATAAATTGCTTCCAGAAACTGAAGTTTTCAAAAAGATGGAATCTCTTTAAATCTCCACATATTCTGCTCAAAACAGACTTTTAGCGAGGAGTAGAAGGTTCTGGCATGCATTCAACTCAATATTATCCTCTATTATTTACAAGCACTTGGTCTTACAATGTGTTCTCAGACATCAGTTTGCCACTACTGCTCAAGCTAGGTCAAAGAATTTTAAAAAACTAAAAATAAAAAAAGAAGAAAAGCCCAGTTGTATTTGTCAGAAAATAAAGCTTCAATAAGAATTTTAGAAACAAATATTTCAAATACAATACTTAAGGTTTCTAAGCTCCCAGAACAAAAGAAGAAATAATAGATTTTTAACAATGACCAACAGAACACAATGTTAGATGTTCAAAAAGGAAGATAAGTGCAGATGCTAAAGGCTCATGGTCAGGTAGAAAACATGACAGGAAATTCACAATCATATTGCTGAAAATATATTTAGGAGAGACAGGGAAATATTAAGCAAAAGAACATGGGCTTTGAATATAAACTTGAGATTGTTCCTGTTTGGATAACTCACTGTTAGTAAGATGTTGGGCATGTTATGATTATCTGAACCTTGACTGCTATAAAATATGGGTAGTAGCACTAGATAAAATATATAATGTATATGGTTATTGTGACTACAAATGATATAACCTATTTATGGGCCTACTATATTAGCTGGTAAATAATAAAGGTTCAATCACTGATCACTATTATCAGTCATGATTATTAAGGTTCCAATTAATTAAAAGATTAGTTCAGATATATTTTAAATAATTCTTTAGTGATCATTTAATTTCTCAGAAACAGATCAATGCATAGAATAATTTTCACCATGTTAATTTCTGGCAATTTGATACAGACTATGTTGTCTATATTTATCTGGAATATGAGGAAGTATATATAATGAAGTGAGTAAAACAAACACAAGGAACTGAGCCCAGTCTACTATCACTGTCAACCTGGCCTGCTCTGAACAAATTTGACTTAACTTTGTAGTAACTACTTTCTCAAAAATATAATTGATTTATCTGCTGTGTTGACAAAGCACTACCTTTAACTCCCTATCCTATTATTACTTTAATTAGAAGCATTGCAGACTTTGCCAAATTCACTTCCTTTTTTTTTTTTCTGAGACAGAGTCTCGCTGTGACGCCCAGGCTGGAGGGCAGTGGTACGATCTTGGCTCACTGCAACCTCCACCTCCCAGGTTCAAGTGATTCTCCTGCCTCAGCCTCCCAAGTAGCTAAGACTACAGGCACATGCCACATGCCCAGTTAATTTTTGTATTTTCAGTAGAGAAAGGGTTTCACCATATTGACCAGGCTGGTCTCGAACTCCTGACCTCAAGTGATCCACCCGCCTCAGCCTCCCAAAGTGCTGGGATTACAGGCGTGAGCCACTGTACCTGGCCTAAATTCACTTTCAACTGATTATTATTCCTTTAACCTAACAGTGGAAATGTCCCAGTCTCATCAAACTTTTTTCTGCTTTCTCCTTATGGTATTTATTAAAGCATTGTTAATTATAGAATGAAAGCAATAGCTACCTAAATAAATTCATGCTGTTGCAGTAAGATACAATTTTTAGCTTTCAAAATATCTTAACTATATAACTACAATATAATATAAAACTATTGTTGAAACAGACTCCATAAGACTGGTATCGGAAAAGATATTTTTCAGGCCCGGTGTGGTGGCTCACACCTGTAATCCCAGCACTTTGGGAGGCCAAAGCAGGCGGATCACTTGAGGTCAGGAGTTCGAGACCAGCCTGAACAACATGGTAAAACCCCATTTCTACTAAAAATACAAAAATCAGCTGGGCGTGGTGGCACATGTCTCTAATCCCAGCTACTTGGGAGGCTGAGGCACCAGAATTGCTTGAACCCAAAAGGCAGAGATTGCAGTGAGCTGAGATTATGCCACTGCACTCCAGCCTGGGAGACTGAGCAGACTCTGTCTCAAAAAATATATTTTTTTCAAAAGAAAAATAGAATAAATTTCTAGCTTAAGGCATTCCAAAATGGCCAAATAGGAACAGCTCTGGTCTACAGCTCCCAATGTGATCAACGCAGAAGACAGGTGATTTCTGCATTTCCAACTGAGGTACCTGGTTCATCTCATTGGGACTGGTTGGACAGTGGGTGCAGCCCACAGAGGGCGAGCTGAAGCAGGCAGGGCAAGGCGTCGCCTCACCCAGGAAGCACAAGGGGTCTGGGGATTTCCCTTTCCTAGCCATGGGAAGCCATGGCAGACTACCTGGAAAAATGAGGCACTTCTGCCCAAATACTGTGCTTTTCCCAAGGTCTTAGCAACCAGCAGACAAGGTAATTCTCTCCCATGCCTGCCTCGGAGGGTTCCACACCCACGGAGCCTTGCTCACTGCTAGCACAGCAGTCTGAGATCAATCTGCGAGGTGGTAGCCTGGCTAGGGGAGGGGTATCCACCATTGCTGAGGCTTGAGTAGATAAACAAAGCGACCGGGAAGCTTGAACTGGGCGGAGCCCACCACAGATCAACAAGGTCCACTGCCTCTAGACTCCACCTCTGTGGGCAGGACATAGCTGAACAAAAGGCAGCAGACAACTTCTGCAGATTTAAACGTCCCTGTCTGACAGCTCTGAAGAGAGCAGTGGTTCTCCCAGCACGGCGTCTGAGCTCTGAGAATGGACAGACTACCTCCTCAAGTTGGTCCCTGTCTCCTGTGTAGCCTAACTGGGAGACATCTCCCAATAGGTGCCAACAGACACCTCACTAGGCGGTTGCCCCTCTGGGACGAAGTTTCCAGAGGAAGGATCAGGCAACAATATTTGCTGTTCTGCAGCCTCCGCTGGTGACACCCAGGCAAACAGGGTCTGGAGTGGAACTCCAGCAATCTCCAACAAACCTGCAGCTGAGGGAGCTGATTGTTAGAAGGAAAACTAACAAACAGAAAGGAATAGCATCAACATCAACAAAAAGGTCATCTACACCAAAACCCCATCTGTAGCTCACCAACATCAAAGACCAAAGGCAGATAAAACCACAAAGATGGGGAGAAACCAGAGCAGAAAAGCTGAAAATTCTAAAAATCAGAGGGCCTGTTCTCCTCCAAAGGATCGCAGCTCCTCGCCAGCAATGGAACAAAGCTGGATGGAGAACGACTTTGACGAGTTGACAGAAGTAGGCTTCAGAAGGCCGGTAATAACAAACTTCTCTGAGCTAAAGGAGGATGTTAGAACCCATAGCAAGGAAGGTAAAAACCTTGAAAAAAGAAAGATTAGACGAATGGCTAACTAGAATAAACAGTGTGGAGAAGACCTTAAAAGACCTGATGGAGCTGAAAACCATGGCATGAGAACTTCGTGACACATGCACAAGCTTCAGTAGCCGATTTGATCAAGTGGAATAAAGGGTATCAGTGATTGAAGATCAAATCAATGAAATAAAATGTGAAGACGAGGTTAGAGAAAAAAGAGTAAAAAGAAATGATCAAAGCCTCCAAGAAATATGGGATTATGTGAAAAGATCAAATCTACATTTGATTGGTGTACCTGAAAGTGATGGGGAGAATGGAACCAAGTTGGAAAACATTCTTCAGGATATTATACAGGAGAACTTCCCCAACCTAGCAAGGCAGGCCAACATTCAAATTCAGGAAATACAGAGAACACCACAAAGATACTCCTCGAGAAGAGCAACCCCAAGACACATAATTGTCAGATTCACCAAAGTTGAAATGAAGGAAAAAGTGTTAAGGGCAGCCAGAGAGAAAGGTTGAGTTACCCACAAAGGGAAGCCCAGCATACTAACAACGGATCTCTCAGCAAAAACCAAGCAAGCCAGAAGAGAGTGGAGGCCAATATTCAACATTCTCAAAGCAAAGAATTTTCAACCCAGAATTTCAGATCCAGCCAAACTAAGCTTCATAAGTGAAGGAGAAATAAAATCCTTTACAGACAAGCAAATGCTGAGAGATTTTGTCACCACCAGGCCTGCCCTACAAGAGCTCCTGAAGGAAGCACTAAACATGGAAAGAAACAACCAGTACTAGCCACTGCAAAAACATGTAAATTGTAAAGACTATCGATGCTATGAAGAAACTACATCAATTAATGGGCAAAATAAGCAGTGAACATTATAATGAGAGGATCAAATTCACACATAACAATATTAACCTTAAATGTAAATGGGCTAAATGTTCCAATTAAAAGATACAGACCGGCAAGTTGGATAAAGAGTCAAGACGCATCAGTGTGCTGTATTGAGACCCATCTCACGTGCAAAGACGCACATAGGCTCCAAATAAAGGGATGGAGGAAGATCTACCAAGCAAATGGAAAGAAAAAAAAAGCAGGTGTTGCAATCCTAGTCTCTGATAAAACAGACTTTAAACCAACAAAGATCAAAACAGACAAAGAAGGCCATTACATAATGGTAAAGGAATCAATTCAACAAGAAGAGCTAACTATCCTAAATATATATGCACCCAATACAGGAGCACTCAGATTCATAAAGCAAGTCCTTAGAGACCTAAAAAGAGACTTAGATTCCCACACAATAATAATGGGAGACTTTAACACCCCACTGTCAACATTAGACAGATCAACTAGACAGAAGGTTAACAAGGATATCCAGGACCTGAACTCAGCTCTGCAACAAGCAGACCTAATAGACATCTACAGAACTCTCCACCCCAAATAAACAGAATATACATTCTTCTCAGTACCACATCGCATTTATTCTAAAATTGACCACATAATTGGAAGTAAAGCACTCCTCAGCAAATCTACAAGAACAGAAATCACAACAAACTGTCTCTCAGACCACAGTGCAATCAAATTAGAACTCAGGATTAAGAACTCATTCAAAACTGCACAACTACATGGAAACTGAACAACTTGCTCCTGAATGACGACTGGATAAATAATCAAATGAAGGCAGAAATAAAGATGTTCTTTGAAACCAATGAGAACAAAGACACAATGTACCAGAATCTCTGGGACACATTTAAAGCAGCTTGTAGAGGGAAATTTATAGCAATAAATGCCCACAAGAGAAAGCAGGAAAGATCTAAGATCGACACCCTAACATCAGAATTAAAAGAACTAGAGAAGCAAGAGGAAACACATTCAAAAGCTAGCAGAAAGGAAGAAATAACTAAGATCAGAGCAGAACTGAAAGAGATACAGAGAGACATAAAAAAGCCTTCAAAAAAATCAATGAATCCAGGAGCTGGTTTTTTGAAAAGATCAACAAAATTGATAGACAGCTAGAAAAACTAATAAAGAAGAAAAGAGAGAAGAATCAAATAGATGCAATAAAAAATGATAAAGGGGATATCACCACCAATCCCCACAGAAATACAAACTACCATCAGAGAATACTATAAACACCTCTATGCAAAAAAACTAGAAAATCTAGAAAAAAAAATGGATAAATTCCTTGATACATACACCCTCCCAAGACTAAACCAGGAAGAAGTTGAATCTCTGAATAGACCAATAACAGGCTCTGAAATTGAGGCAATAATTAATAGCTACCAACCAAAAAAAGTCCAGGACCAGACGGATTCATAGCCAAATTCTACCAAAGGTACAAAGACGAGCTGATACCATTCCTTTTGAAACTATTCCAATCAACAGAAAAAGAGGGAATCCTCTCTAACTCATTTTATGAGGCCAACATCATCCTGATACCAAAGCCTGCCAGAGACACAACAAAAAAAGAGAATTTTAGATCAATATCCCTGATGAACATTGATGTGAAAATCCTCAATAAAATACTGGCAAACTGAATCCAGCAGCACATCAAAAAGCTTATCCACCACAATCAAGTCAGCTTCATCTGGGATGCAAGGCTGGTTCAACATATGCAAATCAATCACTGTAATCCATCACATAAACAGAACCAATGACAAAAACCACATGATTATCTCAATAAATGCAGAAACGTCCTTTAACAAAATTCAACAGCCCTTGATGTTAAAAACTCTCAATAAACTAGGTATCGATGGAATGTATCTTGAAATAATAAGAGCTATTTATGACAAACCCACAGCCAATATCATACTAAATGGGCAAAAACTGGAAGCATTCCCTTTGAAAACTGGCACCAGACAAGGATGTTCTCTCTCACCACTCCTGTTCAACATAGGGTTGGAAGTTCTGGCCAGGGCAATCAGGAAAGACAAAGAAATAAAGGGTATTCAGTTAGGAAATGAGGAAGTCAAATTGTCCCTGTTTGCAGATGACATGATCGTATATTTAGAAAACCCCATCATCTCAGCCCAAAATCTCCTTAAGCTGATAAGCAACTTCATCAAAGTCTCAGGATGCAAAAATCAATGTGCAAAAATCACAAGCATTTCTATACACTAATAACAGACCAACAAAGCCAAATCATGAGTGAACTCCCATTCACAATTGCTACAAAGAATAAAATACCTAGGAATCCAACTTACAAGGGATGTGAAGGACCTCTTCAAGGAGAACTACAAACCACTGCTCAACGAACTAAAAGAGGACACAAATAAATGGAAGAATATTCCATGCTCATGGATTGGAAGAATCAATATTGTGAAAATGGCCATACTGCCCAAAGTAATTTATAGATTAAATGCCATCCCCATCAAGCTACCAATGACTTCACAGAATTGGAAAAAACTACTTTAAAGTTCATATGGAACCAAAAAAGAGCCCACATTGCCAAGTCAATCCTAAGCCAAAAGAACAAAGCTGGAGGCATCATGCTACCTGACTTCAAAGTATACTACAAGGCTACAGTAACCAAAACAGCATGGTACTGCTACCAAAACAGAGATATAGACCAATGGAACAGAACAGAGCCCCCAGAAATAACACCACACATCTACAACCATCTGATCTTTGACAAACCTGACAAAAACAAGAAATGGGGAAGGATTCCCTATTTATTTAATAAATGGTGCTGGGAAAACTGGCTAGCCATATGTAGAAAGCTGAAACTGAATCCCTTCCTTACACCTTACATAAAAAGTAATTCAAGATGCATTAAAGACTTAAATGTTAGACCTAAAACCATAAAAACTCTAGAAGAAAACCTAGGCAATACCATTCAGGACACAGGAATGGGCAAGAACTTAATGACTAAAACACCAAAAGCAATGGCAACAAAAGCCAAAATTGACAAATGGGATCTAATTAAACTAAAGAGCTTCTGCACAGCAAAAGAAACGACCATCAGAGTGAACAGGCAACCTACAGAATGAGGAGGAAATTTTTGCAATCTTCTCACCTGGCAAAGGGCTAACATCCGGAATCTACAAAGAACTCAAACAAATTTACAAGAAAAAAAACAAACAACCCCATCAAAAAGTGGGCAAAGGATATGAACAGACACTTCTCAAAGGAAGACATTTATATGGCCAACAAACATATGAAAAAATGCTCATCATCACTGATCATCAGAGAAATGCAAATCAAAACCACAATGAGATACCATCTCATGCCAGTTAGAAGGCAATCATTAAAAAGTCAGGAAACAACAGATGCTGGAGAGGATGTGGAGAAATAGGAATGCTTTTACACTGTTGGTGGGAGTGTAAATTAGTTCAACCATTGTGGAAGACAGTGTGGCAATTTCTCAAGGATCTAGAACTAGAATTACCATTTGACCCAGCAATCCCATTACTGGGTATATACCCAAAGGATTATAAACCATGCTACTATAAAGACACACACACACATATGTTTATTGCAGCACTATTCACAATAGCAAAGACTTGGAACCAACCCAAATGTCCATCAATGATAGACTGGATTAAGAAAATGTGGCACATATATTATACAGTCATAAAAAAGGATGAGTTCATATCCTTTGCAGGGACATGGATGAAGCTAGAAACCATCATTCCCAGCAAACTATCTCAAGGACAGAAAACCAAACACCGCATGTTCTCACTCATAGGTGGAAACTGAACAATGAGATCACTTGGACACAAGGCGGGGAACATCACACACCAGGGCCTATCGGGAGGTGGGGGGCTGGGGGAGAGACAGCATTAGGAGAAATAACTAATGTAAATGATGAGTTGATGGGTGCAGCAAACAAACATGGCACATGTATACCGATGTATCAAACCTGCACGTTGTGCACATGTACTCTAGAACTTAAAGTATAATAAAAATAAATACATACATAAAAATTTCTAGCTTAAAAAAATGAAACATCCAGGCAATGCTGGAATTTAATTATTTTGGAAAACATTATCACTAGCATAGAGAAGAAAATCTTTTGAAATATCGTATAAAGCAATGACATATGTTTCATCTTTTTCTAAATGTTACATGCAAAGTACAATAATCAAATACTTAGGTTAATTTCTGTTTTCAAAGATTACTAAAGCCTTGCTTTACAATGTCATGCTTTACAATGTTACATTTATATAAAATAAACAAAATTTAAATAGGTAATAAAAATAAACCCCAAATTTTCTAGCATGTCTTTCTAGTTCCTTCAAAATCTAGTTCTAACTTACCATTACAATTTTCACTCTTAAAAATCTTTAACAACAATAACCACACACACAGTAAAAACATACGTGCTGGATCCTAAGTGTTTCTATGTGTATTATCATATAATTCTCCTCACTACCCTAGGAAGTATGTACTGTTCTTTTTCTCATATGACTGATAAAGATACTGAGGTACAGGGAGGTAAAGTCACTTGTCCAGAATCACAGGACGAGAGATGGTTGTAGTCAAAATACACACTCAGGTCCTCAATTTTAGAGCCAGCCTTTTTCACCTCCATGCTAGTCTGCTATTTTGTTTTCATAAATTATTGACTTTTCCATTAGCTAGAAACTACTATTTCCCATTCATATTACTTGGTTGATGCCTGGCATGTCCTCTTCCATCTCTCCACCTGTTGACATAACTCCTCACATTCAAGGCTGACGAAATGCTCTTAATTTTATGAAGTCATTCCTGATTTCTCCATCTTAATTTGTCTTTTGAATGTGTCATATTGTCACACACACAAACATGCATTCACATACACACACTCATCCTGCACCTTCTATGTACTGTAAATGTCTCAATGACTTACATACTTGAGTTCAATCAATCAGTAATAATATTTAACATTTATTCATTTATTAAAATTTCCTTTCTGCCAGGCTTTCCAGATGCTAAATTACAAGGTGCTATAACAATAAAGTGAAGAATAAACTCTCTTAAATTCCATTTTTAAACCTATTCTGGAAAGGCAAGTAGCAGTTTCCCATATAGTCTATATCCGCAATGTGAGAAAACTACATTCTGGGGTGGATGGAAAAAGAGCACATGCAAAGGCATCACCAGTCAACATATAATTCCTATTTATAATTCACTGCAGTTACAGACACATTTCAGATTACAGTAAGCTTCTTAAGCGAGCTCTTATATACCTTATCCATCTCCTTACCCAGCATTGTGCCAGGTATGAGATGATTAATGCATTCCACAGGAGAGACAGCAGAAGGAATGGAGAAAGAGGAAGAATGGGAAGGTTAAAAATGTTAGCACAGGTGAAGTCAACTTTTTGAATAATAAAAGTCTTCCATTCCCATTACTATACCAATCTACTTCACCACCACTCCAGAGGGTCACAAATAAAAATAAAAGGAATATAATTATTATTGAAATAAATATATGCTACATTTCAATCTGGATTATTTCCTGTGCTTTTAAGACAATGATATGTTAATTCAACTCATGAACTCAAAAATTGACTTTGAAACATCCATACAAAGAGCTTCTTATATTGATTAGTGAGGGGGCAAGAATGTCAACATAAATTATATATAATCATTGTTTAAATCATGAATTTTGCACAAAAAAGTAAGATACATTTGCTGACAAATCAAATTCAGTCATAACCAGATGTGTTTTTCCTTTCGCCTTTATGAAATTATACACAGATAGATGCATATCTAGTTACATTTACTAAAAAAGTTGGCTTTATCGTCATGCAATCATTAAACCATAGAATAATTACAGGAATTGGACATTTTGATACACTTACACACTTGACATCCATGGAATCTAAAGTTTTGGTGAAATTTCTATCCCTCGTGTAACTATGATTGATCACCTTTAAAATACACTGTATCTATTTTTACCTGACAATTTTAAAATTGTTTTACCCCAACTCATGAGTCTTACTCTTTACATAGGCTGCCACATCTTTTTAAATCACAAACTAGGGCTATTTTTTAACATCTCCTTTGGCAGAAATTCAAATACATTTTGTTTGCTTGCAGGCTTAAAACAGGGCCTGAATAAATATTTGCAATTCAGCAGTTGTTCTGGTTCTATGCTTTGCAGTAAAAGGTCAGAGAATTTTGCTTCTAATTTTTCTTTTATGCTATTTATAGAACCTAAGTGAAAAATAAATTCCCTATAATTTTATGAAAACATTTTGGAATGCTTTGTATTTTGGTTGCGAAAATGCATCACAATAATAATCACAAATATATATTATTTTAGTACATGTATTTTAAAAGAAAAAATAAATGATTGCTTTGACCATGTATATACAAGTCTGATAAAGGAATTTAATTTTCTGCCATGACATAAATAGGCATTTAAAGTCACATTATTAAAAGTTTCCTAAACTACATGGCTTCTCATTTCCTTACATGTAATTTATTTCAATTAAGAAAAAAAAACAGAAAATCACTTTTAAGAAGTCAAAGATATAAAAATGCTGAGACAAATAACATATGAAATGCAAACAGTGACTTCCTTAAAATTGACATTTTCAGAAAAGAAATGACAATTTAGCTCTGTAAGTTTAATGCTAAAATGTAGCTCAACTCCAAGGCAGGCTAGATTTTCTCCTAGTTGTTTTTTTTTGTTTTTTTTTTTGTTTTTTTTTGTTTTTTTTTTTGAGACAGTCTTGCTCTGTCACCTAGGCTGGGGTGCAGTGGTGTGATCTTGGCTCATTGCAACCTCCGCCTCCTGAGTTCAAGTGATTCTCCTGCCTCAGCCTCCCGAGTAGCTGGGACTACAGGCGCATGCCACCACGCCAGGTTAATTTTTGTATTTTTAGTAAGACAGGGTTTCGCCATGTTGGCCAGGCTGGTCTCAAACTCCTAACCTCAGGTGACCAACCTGCCTCGGCCTCCCAAAATGCTGGGCTAGAGTTTAAACTAAAAGATAATCTGTCTATAAGCATTCTGTTAAAATCAAGAGCCAAGGTCTAGATATAAAATTCTCTAGGTCTGGTGACCTTTCAGAAAATTTTTTTCATATGTGAAGAATGTTTTGACATTTATGAACATAATTATCCATATTATATGAATGATAGTAAGATATAAAATATATGAAACTGCCTAATATTCAAAAGCTTGTTAATATTATAAAATGACATAGCTAACGTCTAAACAAGGAAGGGAGAGAGAAAGGAGGAAGGTTGGGTAAATTAAGCCACCTGGGATTTTGGAAATCGAGCTCTTTGGCCATATACTCTTAGGAATCATTAGATAGAAATAATAATTGGTGAAGAAAAGGTTTACGTTGTGGCCAAACTTATCCACAGGTATAAATTATTATGTCATCCAGAAAATATATATTCATATATATATATTTTGATATATATTCATATTCATGAATATTATATATTCATATTCATGAATATTATATATTCATATTCATGAATATTATATATTCATATATAATCTGCAAATTTTAACATCCCTTTGCTAGTGATATTTACCCTTAAATATATTACTTTTTGAATAGTAAACAAAAAAAAGAAAATAATTTATTGTCGTAAAGTTATTTTAAGTAACATTTTATGCTGCCTAATAAGCATTTCAAAAATTAACAAGGTAATATTCCAATTAACCTGAAAAATATATAAACTGTAATGATTAAATCCTTTCTTATACATATTGACAAAAGTATCCAAGATTTTTCTGAGCCTACTTAATGAAGTAATGACTGATTCATGTCTTATTTAACAAAAGTTTCAGAGAAATAAAATGACATTTTTCTGCATTTAGTTTATGAATCAAGAATAACAGAAATGCTTTAAGCCAAATCAAAAGGAAGAATATCGGAGGTAATGATATTTAAAAAAAAAAATAGGAAGAGAAGCTGGGGTGAGGAGGAGTGAGCAACATTTGGTTCTAATTATTATAATTGATTAAAATAATTCATAAAGCTATAATTAAGGGTATTTTAAACTTTTAAAATTTACTATTAAGGGTGGAATGAGAAGTTATTATTAAGTATGTTATTATGATGTAGACAACTCATAAAAATGGCATCATTTAAAATTTACTGCATATATATTATATGCTAGGTTCTATGGTAAAAGACTTAAATGACTTATTCTATTTTTTATTTTATTTTATTTTATTTTTTGAGATGGAGTCTCGCTCTGTCACCCAGGCGGGAGTGCAGTGGCTCACTCGGCTCACTGTAAGCTCCGCCTCCCAGGTTCACGCCATTCTCCTGTCTCAGCCTCCGGAGTAGCTGGGATTACAGGCGCCCGCCACCATGCTTGGCTAATATTTTGTATTTTTAGTAAAGATGGCGTTTCACCATGTTAGCCAGGATGGTCTCGATCCTTACCGCGTGATCCACCCGCCTCGGCAGCCCAAAGTGCTGGGATTACAGGTGTTAGCCACCGTGCCCGGCCTAACTGATTTATTTTCAAATCCTTGTAATATAATTAATATTTTATTTTTCAGGTGAAAAATCTATACCTCAATAAAATATGGGCAAAAGACCTTAACAGAGACTTCATCAAAGAAGATATACAGATGGCAAGTAGGTGTATGAAAAGATGTTCAACATCATATGTCATCAGAAAATTGCAAACTAAAACAATGAGATATCATTACATGGCTATCAAAATGGCTAAAATCCAAAACATTGACAATACCGAATGCTGGTAAGGTTATGGAATCACAAGAACTCTCATTCATTGCTCATGGGAATGCAAAATGGCACAGTCACTTTTGAAGACAGTTTGCCAGTTTATTACAAAACTAAACATATTTTTACCATACAACCCTTGATATTTACCCAGTTGCACTCCTTGATATTTACCCAGTTTAACTGGACAGTTATGTCCATGCAAAAATCTGCACAGGAATGTTTATAGCAGCTTTATTTATAATTGCCCAAACTTGGAAGCCATGGAGATGCCTTCAGTAGGAGACAGACTGTGGTACAGCCATACAACAGAATTATTATTTAGTAATAAAAAAAAATACACTATTAAGCCACAAAAAAACATGAAGGAACCTTAAATACATATTATGATTTGAAAGAAATCATCTGAAAAGGCTACATCCTGTATTATTTCAACTATATAACATTCTAGAAAATGTAACTATGGAAAGAGTAGAAAGATCAGTGATTGCCAGGGGTTTAGGGAGACGGAGGGATGAATAGATAGAATACCAGAGATTTTTAGGGCAGTGGAATTATTCTGTTTGATACACAACGATGGTTATACATCATCATACATTTGTTAAAACTCAGAATATATAACACAAAGCATGAACCTTGATGTAAACTATGAACTTGGCTGAATAATGATGTGTCAGTGTGGTTCATTGATTATAACAGATGTACCACAGCATGCTGCAAACTGATGGTGTGAGAAGCTGGAGTAGAGATTGGGCTGGGGGGAACATGCATGGAAACTCCCTGTACTACTTGCTTAATTTTGCTGAGAGTCTGAAGCTGCTCTAAAGTCTATTAATTGGAAAATTTTAAAGTTTAAAAAATTTAAATAACAAAAACAGAAAAACCTTGTACTTAAGAGAGGTTACATAACTTGCTTAAGGCCTCACAGTTTGTAAGTGGTGAAGCCACATTATTTCTGTTCTTTAAGTTAACTATTCCACAAAGGCTGTATGATTACATGCTACATTTCAGCCATTTCACTATGCCATAAAGGACCTACATACCGTGATGCATATAATGAAATAAAAATGATTGACATAAAGATTTACCACCAAATCTGCTTACTTATTTAACAATTTCTAAATTTTCATTATAATAATTCCTAGAACTATATTTCAAGGAATTTTAAAAATTTAAAAACAATGCCTTTAAGGGTGGAATGAGAAGTCACATAGTCAAACCCTATTTTTGTTGTTCTGAAATTTGTATATTCTAAATACCCTGCTCACCACATTTGGCAACATTTTGCCGAGTCACCTAAGTAAATAAGCAAATCTGTTTTGTTGTACCTATTCCATATCTCCACACAACTCTCCAAAACAAATGAAGGCAAGAAATACGTAGATTTTCTGTGCCTTATAAGCCAATTTCAGAAGCCTCAGTCTAATGTTAAAGTTTCTGTGAACAAAGATAAAATTATTTAATCATTCTTCACAATGTAAAGCATCTCCATTTGAAGCCATCACTATTGCTTATACACTCTATAAGCTCCATTTCCTCTGATGTTAATAACTCCAAGTTATTTATTGGCTATCATACTCTTTTATAACTGCTTCTTCCCTCAAGCAATACATATTATTTTCTTAATCTGTCTTCAGACATCAATTGGTTAAGTATATAAAATATCTAACAAATGGTGGAACAAGCAGAGCTTACTATAAAGTGTTATCACATAAGATCCAAGTTTAGGACTATAATGAGAATATGCTATAATCTTAAAAGAGAAATGTTTCCATCACCATCAAACAAAGAGAAACATGCATAGACTATGTTTCAAGAGGAACATTAACTAAACATTCAAAACTTCAACTGGCCAGAGGTGGATTTAACATACTTGTGAAGATTAAGCTTCAGGGACTCTCACTATCACAAGTCCTTTCCATTTTCATACATTTGATTTCATACTTTTTTTTAATTAAATTGAAACCCATTCCTATGGTTTGGACACTTGAACCCTTCAAATATCTTCCTGAAATTTGACCCATAATGTTGGAGATGGGGCCCGGTGGGAGGTGTCTAGATGCATGGGGGCAGATCGCTCATGAATGTCTTGGTGCAATGCATTCTCCATGAATGTATTGGTGGTAAGTTCTCACTCTGTTAATTCTAAAGACAGCTGGTACAAAGAGCCTGGCACCTCCTTCCCTCTCTCTCTTGCTTCCTTTGTCACCACATGATCTCTGTGTTTTCTGCACACACTGGTTCCCCTTCACCTTCCGCCATGACTGGGAAGCAGCCTGAGTCCTCACCAGAAGCAAATGCTTCTTGTACAACCTGCAGAACCATGAGCCAAATAAACTTATTTTATTTATAATGTACCTAGCTTTGGGTATTCTTTTATAGTAACACAAATGGACTAAGATACATCCCCACCTAGATGTGCTCCTGCAAAGTGCTGTAACATGTAATCAAAGCAATGTTCCCTGACCTAGACTGCATGTACAGTTAAAAATATTTGCCAGTACCTTGGTGGTATCGTTGCATAAATTTTCTGTTCTTAATAAATATTTATGAACACTGAGAGCAGAATACACATTCTGCACACCTTTTATAGACATTGCCTGTTTTCCCTCAATGACACATCTCATCCATACATGTGGCCCATTGGACACTGTCCTTAACCTGGTATCATCTCCCCCACCCCATGCTACAGCTAGTACTGACAACAGTCTTTGACAGACCTGGCAATTATCCTAACCTTAAAACTGTTCCTCATAATCGCCCTTCTTCTCTTTCAAGGGGTACTCAATAAATATTGACTATTATTACTACCGTAATTATTAATATTTAAAGATTTAATCTTATGAAATGGAGTCTTATACAAAACTATTTTTAGAGTAAAACAGACTTTTCCATTTCTTTTGAATGATGACAAACCTCCATCAGATAAGGAGTATTTGGTGTTGTATATTGAAGGGAAACTGTACTTATCACCTGAAAAAAATGCTAATCCATTCAGTAAGGGGTAACTGTTGTGCTTTATCAAAGGCTGTGACACAGTCTTATGAGACTGTGTTTTGCAGAGATCACTTTGACTGTCCATTGGAGAAAATATCTGATGAGGTCAAGACTGAACAAGTAAACCAATTGAGAAGCTGTAGTAAAAGACAATGGCCAAACAAGTGACTGCAGAGATAGATCAAAAAGATATTTAGAAGGGAAATTTAACAGGACTTGACAACTAATTGGATTTAGAAGGTGAGGAAGGCTGGCTAGGAACAATTTCTTATTGTTGCAATGATGAAGATGGACATACTCTGAAATTTTACTTGTACTTCTTGTAAGAAAGGAAAGATAAAAATAGTAAATTAAATCATGTCCTTTCATTTTCTGAACTTCTTGATCAAATTTGTCTGACAGTTTTGTAGAGTCATCCCTGCCAACAGTCTTAGCAGCCAGTAGAATGAGAAAAATAATCATTCTCATCTAATCATGTGCCATTAAACTAAGAACAATTACTTCCAACTAAGCTGTCTCTCCATTCTGCCAAGTTCAAAGGAAATGTTATGACCAAAGTGTCACCTCAAGTCTCAAGTTTCTATATCTGGCATTAATTTCATTAATTATAGCCTCTTTATTTTACTCCTGATCTGCTGACAGAGCACTGGCTGGGTCTCAGCCAACTAATCAAGATTAAATACATTAAGTTTGAAACACACGAAGCGCATCTTAATGCAATTGTTTTTTCCGAGGCTCTTTTCTGGAAAAACAGGTATAATAATCTTATAGTGTTTTGATGATTTTAAAATACAGTTTTAATAAAAGGCATTAACTTTCCTATAATCAACAAGAATCTGCTGGAATATAGCCATAATTCAATGCTACTTTTTCAGGAATATGAGAACAAAACAGGCAAAGAAACTGTACTTTATTCAGATCTGATGAAATAAAAATTATGTCTTTTGTAAGTGAATAACCTTATTGCCTGAATAGTGCAATTTAAAAATCCAGACTAATTTGAGTTGGAGAAGCCTGAGGAAACATAATTTAAAACACTAGCTTATATCAAAGAGGGAAACTGAGGTACAGAGGAGGAATTTCCTGTATTTATCCTGGCCTTATCTATTTTCACTTTTTATAACGTAATTCAAGGTTTTCCAGATGAACTTTCTGTACAGGTTTACTTATATTCTGAGTTACCTCATTTTAATTAGAGGTTGCTACTAGAATATGTGAAGGAAACAGCCATCTGTCTCCTTCTCTACTATCATTTATAAATAATATTTGGGACTTTTCCAAAGAAGATATATCTGTCACCAACAAGCATATAAAAAGTGCTCAACATCACTAATCATTAGAAAAATAAAAATCAAAACCACAATAAGATACCATCTCACACCAATCAGAATGGCTATTATTAATTGATAATAAGAATGTTATTATTAGTATTTCTTATTGATTAATAAACTGTCAAAAATAGAGGCTAGTGAGGTTGCAGAGCAAAGGGAACACTTATACACTGAAAATCAGCATGGCAATTCCTCAAAAAACTTAAAATTACCGTATGACCTAGCCATCCCTTTACTGGGTATATACCCAAAAGAATATAAATCATTCAACCATAATGACACATGCACACATATGTTCATTGCAGCACTATTCACAATAGCAAAGAAATGGAATCAACCTAAATGCTAATCACTGGTTGACTGGATTTTAAAAGTGTGATACATATACATCATGGAATACTACACAGCTATAAGAAAGAACAAGGTCGTGTTCTTTGCAGCAATATGGATGGAGCTGGAAGACATTATCCTAAGCAAACTAACGCAGGAACAGAAAACCAAATATTACATGTTCTCACTTATATGTGGGAGTGAAACACTGAGTACATATGAAAATAAAGAAGGAAACAATAGACACCAGGGCCTACTTGAGGGTAGCGGCTGGGAGGAGGGTGAGAATTGAAAAACTACCTATTGGGTACTACGCTCATTATCTGGGTGACAAAATAATCTGTGCACTAAACCCCTATGACATGCTAATTGCCTGTATAACAAACCTGTGCATGTACCCCTGAACCTACAATATCAGTTATACATAAATAAATAATATTTGAGTTTCAGTCCCTTAGTATACCCATTCTGAGGTCCCACAGATATTTTTAACCTCCACTTTACCAGGCCACAGAGGAAAGTCACACAATCAAGATGGTACAGCAGATATAGTCATTATTAAGTGTTTATTAAGTTTTTAACTTCAGATGTAAACATTATATAAAATCAGTTATATACCATAAGAGCACATACCTGGCATAATATATTTTTGATATACTTAATTGGTTAAATAAGTTCTATTTTTCACTGTATTTTGTTTGAAAAACTCAAACTAAATATTTTACCCCTAAATCTTCCTATTTAGCAATATAGAGCAAAAGTTCTTTATTTTGAAAAGATACAAGACTTTACATACCCAAAGGCATGGAGAGAAGAGATAATTAGTTTAAAAGAGATTTATCACCCCTGCCAAAGGGAATAGCATTCAAGGGAGCAGTTTGGGAACTGAGGAGATGCCCAAACTTGTGCTTCACATTGGACTAGAACAGCCCAGTTTGGTCTGAGCTAAGAGTCTAGTTATTGTTCTCATTGCCAGGTCATATGGACATCTCTCAAACCCAAAGGCATGCAATACAATGATTATTTCAAATCTCTTGACCAGTCTCGACAAAGCACCACCCAAAAATTCCAACACTTGTGCTCCATTCAGTAAACTGATGATCCTGATCATACTGATGCTTCTAACTCAACCTTCCCCACTCCCAGAACATGGGAACTTCCACGCTTCCCTTCCCTGATGGCCCTTGCATGTGGGAGGTGGGCAGGACTGCAATCACTGGGAGCCCCAGTAGGATATCTAAAGCTTTTAATATCTGTTTAAAACACTTGGATAGCTTTTACAAAGTTCAGGTTCGTGTGGTTTTCATATGATGGCTCTCATCAGTGAAACCTACCCATGCAGTAATGTAAAAACCATGCTTTATAATTTTTAAATGTTGACAATAATAGGTAAGTAGTAGTAATTCTTCAGAACTGAGTCATTACAGTATAAATGTCTTCTAAGACTTAGTTTTAGCATAACTACAATGCGGATATCAACCTTGCCACCCATTTAATGTGAAAAGAATTCATATGAAGATAATGAAGTATAGAAGTCAAAAATTATGTGTTCTTTCATCTAACACAAGAATAAACATCTGACGGTATCTGTTTATATTTTCTAAAATCTAAGTTATTTACAGAAAATATACTGTTCTTTCCAGAATTTGATCATTAGAATTGTTAAGTTACATTGAAGAACAAAATTGCTTATAATGCTAATAAGGTACTCTATGACTAAGACGTGTTTATATTTATTAATTTCTATTAAGATGCACTTGATTAGAATATATTACAGTGAATATGGCTAACATAGTAAAAGCCTGGTTAAAAATAAAACCTTAAATGCACATGCCAAAAAATAATAATTTCTTGAACATTTATAGAAAGCACCTATATAGCCTGTATTTGAATTGTTTACACCTTCCTTTCCTCCTGAGTCTTCCAAATGTCACTAGATTGAGAGGCTTCCAGAGGTTTAGAGTCTGTTGTAAATTGTGTTTCAAGCAGCAGTTATTACTAGAAAGGGTCCCTGTCTCTTCCTACTTGCCAAGCAGAAACAGTCTCATTAACATAAGGCAGGATGTTAAGCAGAACATCTGTTAAACTGATTTAGGAAAAATATCACCTTTGAAAGGCCTTAGGGGAAATTTCTGGGTTTAGAGCATTAAGTCACAGGACGATAATAGATTTTATCAACATACAAGTGAAAAGGAATGAGAGGTTCTTTTAAAAAGAGGTTCTTTTTGAATAAAATAGAAAAACACCCCAAAGATTAGTGAAGCCAAGAAAGTAAAAAGCTAAAGAAAAGTCTATGCCTAGAGCGCTTTGCCTTTAGGAGTCAGATTTTCTCAGCAAATCAAAAAAGATATAAGTCAATTAAAAGATATGCTTATTTTAAACTATCAGAATGGAAAAAAATTCAAGCAAAATAAAAACAGACTTATTAAGCTGGGAGAAGGATACAATTCGGCAAAAGGTTGTCATCTCCAAGAACAGGATATACCAATCAGAAAACGAAACAAGGATCTTGGACGCTCAGCTAAACAGAGACACACACACTCTGACCTGCTCTGAAAAATGAAACTGTCTAAGATGCCTAGAGGTCCCCAAATCACATATGCTGTTTTGAACACGAAATACAAATTATACACACTTAGTAAGTCCAAAATTCTGATAAATGAAGTGTACCTGCTTTACATTAAAATGAAATTGCAGAAAATATCACCCCGCCCCTGACATCCACACACATCCACACACGTGCACAAACAGATAGGTTCATTTATAAAAATAAAATGTCTGATCTAAACATGTGTAACAAAATTGGTGCTCTCTGAATTCATTGTGGGGTATTTTGTAACAAGGAGTCTTGCTAACATTCATCATATCTCATGGCGGGACAACCCCGATCCTCAAGGTGCTCATGTCAAAGAGAAACAACAGTGCAAAAGTAGCTGCATGTATTTATTTCTAGCTCCATATAAAACGAGTTTTAACTTTATGTCTGCAAAGCTTATTTTAATGACAATTTTTAGTAAATTATATATGTGAAAATAGTAATGGCCTTTCCAACATTAAGTTAAATTACCACAACTTCATTAACCAACACTGCAAATGACTAGTGTCTTCAAGAAATTCCATTTTATACAAGTAACAGGAAAACAACATAAGGGTCTGAAATTCTTTAAACAGTTTATAAGTATTTGAAAATTTCCAGATGCCAAGGTTAACATTTCAGAATGAAAAGCTGTTGTTAGCCAAACTGCTGTGTATTCTGAACCACTCTTTATAAACATTTTCACATATCCCATTGGGCAGACTATTTCTTATTCATCTGTGCCCCTTCTAATGATTAGTCTCGTACATAGCTGGCCCTCAATAAACAATTCATGAATCTTGAAACCAAACGACAAAGGATGCCATAGGTAAGTTAGTCAGAGCCTCAATCAATTTCTGTTATTCTTCCCTCTAAGTTAAATATGGGAAATATTTACTCTATAAGACCAATAAATGGGAGAGAAGTATTATCAAGGATTTGTTTCAATAGAATGAATTGTGAGTTTATATTAGGTAATTCTACCACTAATCTTTTGACTATTAACACTTCTATCACAGCCCTGTATCCTGGGTGGAATGTGATTGCATGATTAAGCTTGTTTGTAATAGGTTAACATTAATAATTAAAAAAAAAAAAAAAACAGGTGCAGTGGCTCATGACTGTAATCCCAGCACTTTGGGAAGCCGAGGTGGGAGGATCACCGAAGCCCCATAGTTTGAGACCAGCCTGGGCAACATAGTGAGACCTCATTCTCTACAAAAGTTAAAAAAAATTAGCTGGGTGTGGTGGCGCATGCCTGTGGTCCCCGGTATTTGGGATGCTGAGGTGGGAAGATCACTTTAAGTCTGGGAGGTCAAGGCTGCAGTAAGCTGTAATCATGCCATTGCACTCCAGTCTGGGCAACAGAGCAAGACCTTGTCTCAAAAAATAATAAATAAATAAATAAATAAATAAATAAATAAATAAATAAATAATTTCATGAGTTCTTGGGGTCCTGAACCTTCATTACTGTGACTAGATCTTTGAAATTGCTACTTGCTACACAATATTTCTCCTAATATTTCAGTTACATCATTAACATTCACTCATACATTAGATATTGAATATTGTACTAGGCACTGAAGATAAATTGGTAAGCAAAACAGGTTAGATTCCCACTCGTGGACCTAAGAAACTAGCAATGAATAGATTTTTAAATACAACACTTCAGCAAAGTTTGATAATTCCATCACAGGCACTTTTGGAAGACAAAGCTGGGCATTCACCCTGAGCATGAGGTCAAGAAGAGTGAGAAGGCTTCCAAAGGTAGGAAAAACACAGAAGGATGACAGGAAAAGGGTAAGTTGGGAGGAAGACTGTTCCAGGCCAAGAGATCTGCCTATTAGCATGCCCAAAAGGGAAGCCAGAAAGTACCTTGAATGTATTAAAGAAAACAAAAGTTATAAACAAGGCACAGACTATTAAAAAGGAAGGGGAGAGACATCAAGTAAATAAGCAAGTATTTATCTTAAGAGAAATACTCAAAACGGATTGCGCAGGACTGCAACACCAAATCATCCACATAATATTTTCCCATAAAGAGGATTCACACATGCTTCACTGCATTACTTTTGAGAAGACCCCACTGCAGTCATTAGTGCACAGTAGTTGCTTTGGCCTGCACCCCTGCAAGGTAAGTTATTAATGTGTTTTTTTATATAAGCCATCTTCTAGTTACACAACTATTCATGCGGTTTCTGCAACATTCTTTTCTTCTGGCTGGATTCTGCTTCCTGATTTCCATACACGACAATGGTTTGTATTACATAATTAAAAAATAAACACTGTTTGTTTTCCTGTTTATAAAATACATTTATATGTTTCTCAATACAAGAAATACCATTGCAAATAACAGGTATATCTTAAGTTTTTTATAGATTACTCACTAGTTTTATTTCAGTGGTAGAACCTCAATAAATCCTTGACTTTAAAATCACTTTTAAAACACAAATTTGGTGCAGGGGGATTTACATATGTCTGACATATTTTAGGCACCCAAACCGTTGTTAAAATGAAAAGCTGATGTTTAATATTTAAGGAGACTGGTGTGAATATATCAAGAATAAATATTAATAAAAATAATATGACAGTAATATATTCTCAAGTATAGGGTAATTTTTTATTTCTATTTTATTTTTCTTGAGATGAGATCTCACTCTGTCATCCAGACTGGAGTGCAGTGGCGCGATCACAGCTTACTGCACCCATGACCTCCCAGGCTCAAGTGATCCTCCCCGCCTCAGCCCACCAAGTAGCTGGGACTACAGGTGTATGCCACTATGCCCGGCTGATTTTTGTATTTTTTGTAGAGATGTGGTTTCACCATGTTGCTCAGGCTGGTCTCCAACTCCTGAGCTCAAGCAATCCATCCACCTCGGCCTTCCAAAGTGCTAGGATTACAGGTGTGAGCCACACTACATCAGGCCTAAGTATAGGGTAATTTAAAGCCAAATATAATTTTCTCAATTTCTCATTGCAAAGGGAACAAACAAAACTCTATACACCAATAAGTTTTACTTCAAGGAAGTTGTAGCTCTTCATTCATTAATTTATTTATTCAACAATTATATGATGAGTACTTCCTTTATGCTAAACACTAAAAAGTCATAAGATCAAAGACGAATAAATGACACAAACCCCCTGACTCCATGGACATCACAGTCTTCTATAGAAGACAAAAATATAAACACCTTACAAAAAAGCAATATAAATAAACTAAGATGTATATGTATAAATATTGTGATAACAGGAAACTAATTTAAATTGGGCTGAGTAAGATTGGGGACACCACTTAAGAGGAGGCAATATATGAAGTGAGTTTGTAATGCAGATATACATTATATTGAAAAGGGGAATAAAAAACAAGGAATTGATATATTCAAGAGTCAGTGAAGGCAGTGAGAGCAGAGAAGGAGTTTACATTTGAGAGATGTAGGCATTGGGATCTATGTGCTTACCACATGGTAGATGCTCTAAATACCTGCTGGTTGAAGAGATAAAAAACTGAATAAATCAAACCGTGATTATTGCTGGACTTTAGTCATTGACTCGATGTAAAAAAAAAAAAAAAGAATGTGGAAAGTTTCTACGGTACTGCAATTCTCTTTACTTTACCCTGGCCTCTTTTTCTTTCTCTCTCTCTCTCTTTTCCATCTCCTTCTGCCCTTCTAATTCTCTATCAAAACATCAACTATTCTTTATTTTATCATTGCCTTTTGTCCTTTTGATTATTATTCATATAATTCCATTCATTGTGCAGTAATAAAGGATTAAAAGTTAACTCAATGTTGCATATGCATGATTGTATGTACCATACTTTTTATTAGTACCATATCAATATTATTTGGCAATGTAAATTATTAGAAACATCTGTTTCGGTTCCCAGTAGTCAAACAATGTACTTCAAACATGTACTCTTCATAAAAAGAATATCCTTCATGTTATAAAAATATCAGATTTTAATATTATATTCATATGCATAAGAAACATATTAATGCTATATATTAATTACATATGATTAATACATAGTAATTATATACTTATATTAATGGTTTCATATTATATCCAATGCCAAATTTAACAAATATTACACTATTACTTAGTCAGCTAAAAGCATTTAGAATTATAGTACCACAAATTATTTCTGTCTACTATATCAGATTATTTTATTCAACTATTTTTGGTATACTGTGAATTCAACTGCTGGTACTTTTAGAAAATATATTCTATTTTAATAATTTGAGCAATTTAAAATTATATATTTAAAAATATCTAATTAGCATATTAATTAATGTTTCATTTACTTGGAGGAATGAAAACTTTACTCCTGTAATCAAATAGGTATGTTTACTGCAATTCAAACATAGTATTCATTAGCACAGCAAAATGCTCAGAAACTGCTACATAAAGTGCCAACTACATTAACTAAACTGAGTTCATCATGTCAATGAAGGAATGACAAGTGGAAAGAAAACTATTTTATTTGTAAAAATGAATGGATAGATTTTTATGGATCCAATTCTAGTGTTTGCCACAGTACTATTTCATTTGGTCAATTAGAGAAACTGAACAGACCATTTGTAAATGTCATCCTAGGTCAGTTAGAGCTGCAGAAATGCCTCAGTGGTTCAAGATAATTATGAGGCACACAGTTAAAAAATAGAAAGTATGAATTTTAGTACTGTAGATTTAGTACTGTAGTTTCAATCCCACATATTAAGAAAATTTACATGATCATGTACATTTGACTTATTCCACCTCAGATATTTGCAAACCTGCTCGTGTTCATTTGTAAACGTCTGAAAATATATTACAAAACTATTTACTGAAGTCAGAAAAATGTTACTCTGCTGCCTTGTTTCTGATGTTTTCGTGGAGAACATCATCATTAAGTTTGGCAAGTGTAATACTGTATAGGTAGTGAACAGTAACATTGGCATACTTTAAGTCCAGAATTAAGAAAATAGAATGATTGCACTCTTTGGTGTAGTTCTGCTGTCAACAGATGCACATTTAAAAAAAAAAATCACATATTCAGGCTGGGAGCGGTGGCTCACTCCTGTAATCCCAGCATTTTGGGAGGCCAAGGCGAATGGATTATCTGAGGTCAGGAGTTCGAGACCAGCTGGGCCCACATAGTGAAACCTGGTCTCTACTAAAAATACAAAAAATAGCCAGGTGTGGTGGCACATGTCTGTAGACCCAGCTACTCAGGAGGCTAACAAAGGAAAATTGCTTGAACGAGGGAGGCAAAGTTGCGGTGAGCGGAGATCGCACCACTAAACTCTAGCCTGGACGACAGAGTGAGACTCCATCTCAAAAAAAAAAAAAAAAAAAAAAAATCACATATTCTCTTTTTCTTTTTTTGGAAAAGTTGGTGCTAGCATATCTGCTCAGTCACTGCAAGCTTTTGAGGCAGGCTGTTCTTTAAATTAGAAAGCCATCCCAAGGAAAGTACAAAATACACTAATGGAATCTTGTTTCAATTACTGTGCAGAAACTGATTTGTAGATAGCTTGGCTTTGAAGGGATACAGGGAAAATATTTTCAAAACAAAATTTCCTACCTTCAAACTTCGTAGTGGATTATTTTCTAATAGTTGCCTAGTAATCTGCTCATGAAAAATAATGCACTTTCAAGAAATAGTGTCTATGTCTTGACTCTCACATCCAGGCTATGATCTCCTAATACCATTTTCACTTTCTTTCACAAAGAGAGAAATTTGGGCTTTTTGAAGGATTGGCTCATTCCAGATCTGGGGCAAAAAAATGCACAAGATGAGACTGACAACTTGTGCTGACAAACAAGAAAACTGTCAATGTCTAATGAAATTGTGTGCAAAGGGCATGAGGGCCAGCTTGACTGGGCTAGTACTGATAAGAGACAAGGAATTTGAGCATGGAAAAGAATAATGAGTATAATTAAGAGAAATATTGAATGTATAATATCCAGGAGCTCATAATGATACTTAAAAACATAGACGTGATACAGAGACAAATTACTCAAACCAAATGAAAGAGAAAATAAAATCTCTTGTTTCAGCTGAAGGTAGCTAGAGCACCAACCCTTTACTCTAAAAGTTGGTAATTAAAGGGAGAAATTAAAATTCAGGGTAACTAAATCACTTTAGTTGTTAAGGACAAATTTTCTTTTACAGAGTAATTCTAGACAATAAATTTTAAGAGAAACAATAAAATTAGAAAATTACCATCATTTTGCAACCTCAAATGAAATAAGTGATTCATGCAATGATTATCAATGGATACTGTGAATAAACCTTCTCTGAAAAGGAATTTAGACACTGAAAGCTGTAACTGCCAGGTTTGCAAACTGTTCACTAGAAGACAGAAAGTTTCTGTCTTCCAAATCCCTTTTCAGAGAACTTTTGTTCACAATACTAAAACCATCAGGAGAAAAGTTGATAGGAAAATTTACAATTGAACAACCTGGCCTCAAGCGTCTTCACCCTTCAACCTCCAACCACCACTAAAATGGGACAAGCAGATGTTGCGTCTCCTGATGTGATACAATATTAAGTACACAGCATCACCTTTGAAATATTTTAGTTAAAAATGATGACACTGAATCAAATCAAACCATTTGTTCTATCTTCTAATTTTCAGGAAATACAATGGATAAAGATACATAGTGACTAACATCGTAAGAAAACACAAAAAATTCAGAATGTAGAAATTCTATCAATTGTTTCAGTTTCTTCAATAACTCGATAACGTTGGGAGATAAAGTGGGCTGTATATGCAACAAGGGATCCTGGGTTGGATCCTGGAAGAAGAAGGAAAAAATAATTAATGAAAACAACTGGTGGAATTTGAATTCACCAGTAGGTTAATTAATAATATTGTGACCAATGTTAATTTTTTGGTTTTGATTATTGCACTATGGCTATGTAAGATGTTAATACTAGGGGAAGCTGAGGGAAGAGTATTTTCCAACTCTGTGCTATTTTGCAATGTTTCCATAATTCTAAAAACACAACAAATGCAAAGCACACAGCTTGTTTTGTTCTGAATTTGAACATACTCATCATAAAGGGATTTTTTTTTTTGCCAATCTGGAAAACTTAAATATAAATTCAGTATTACATGTTAAACTTAAACTTAAGTTTGTTATATATAATAATAGTGTTGTATCCGGGAGTGGTGGCTCCTGCCTGTAATCCCAGCACTTTGGGAGGGTGAGGTGGGTAGATCACGAGGTCAAGAGATTGAGAGCATCCTGGCCAACAGGGTGCAACCCCATCTCTACTAAAAATACAAAAATTAGCTGGGCGTGGTGGTGCACACCTGTAGTCCCAGCTACTCAGGAGGCTGAGGCAGAAGAATAGCTTGAACCCGGGAGGCAGAGGTTGCAGTGAGCCGAGATCATGCCACTGCACTCCAGCCTGGTGACAAAACAAGACTCCATCTCAAAAATAAATAAATAAATAAATAAAAATAAATAAAATGTTATTGTGTTTAGAGAAGAATATATCATTAATTTGAAAAACACAGAAGTATTTAGTAATAAAATGTCATGATTCTAAAGGTTCAACTTAAAAATTCAACAGAAAAAAGAAAATTAAGCATTGATTATTTGTCACTGATACTGATTGAATCTGAGGATGGGTATATGACAGTTTACTATAACATCATCTCCACATTTGTGTTTGTTTGCAAACCCTAACAATAAAAAGTTTTTTAAAAGTTTACATTTTATAACATTTGCTTGGCCATGAAACTAGGACAAAGTTCTGGGCCCATTTCAGCCTCTGGTCATACCTTTCATTCACTATATGCTGAGGTGCAATAGTTATCTCATGGTCTTTTTTTCTTTTCTTTACTTTTTCAAAGACATGGTTTCACTATGTCTCTCAGGCTGGTCTCGAACTCTTAGGCTCCAGCAATCCTGCCTCTGCTTTCAGAGTAGCTGGGATTATAGACACACTCTGGCCTTGCCTCATTATCTTGCTATTGCAAGGACTGCCTGGCAATCCCTGATGGCCTGCAGTAGAATTTCACAAGATGATTAAAAAAAAAAAAAAAAAAAAAAAAAAAAAAAAGGCTTTTGCAGCTACAGCTCAAGCTCTATTGGATTTCTATTATGTTTAGCTGGCTGCTGAATTCTAACAAAATGGACAAAATGTCAAAAGCATCAGTTGTGCTTTGTCCACACTGAAGCTTTTCAGATGTTTTGAAACTTCCATGCATGTAATCACAGACCAATTAAAGAAAACAATAGTTTCTTAAATAACTGAATACTCTTGTCATTACAATTTCTTTTTAAAGTTTCAAAATAAGTATAGAATGGCAGCATAGTAGTGAGGTTAAAACCAGTATTTAGAATCAGACATTTTTTTAGGTGTATGACTTTTCTAGGGTCTCTCTAAGCTTCAGTTTCTTCATCTGACAAAAGGTAATAATACCTGTAGTTGGAATTCTGAGAAATAACTGAGATATCACATGTAAAACACTTAGGAAAATGTTTGATGCAAATGACTGCTAAATAAAACAAAGTAATAATGATGCTGTCTCAATTCTTCTGTTCTCCAGATGGAGAAGTAGATGTTTCTTTTGAACAACACTGGTCTATGACAGGATGCAAACAACTAGTTTGTGTCAAAATAAAAAAAAACATGTATCTAGTTTCCCTCCCTAGCCATTTCAGTGGGAAAATATTTTCAATGTTAACTCCAATCCAAGACCCATACTTCGAAGAATTTCAGAAATTGAGGAAGGCTATGTTATTCCCCACAACCTAGAGGAGTCCAAGGTTACATATGGTATGATAAAAGTATCAGGAAATGAAGTATACTTTTATCATACCATATATACCCATATATCATATATAAGTTAATACATAATAAAGGGAATATTTATTCTAACTTTTCTTCCACCAAAAAGGGGGTGCAAATAGCTTTGCATGATCAAGTGTGGCTCATGATTTTCATATAAGAACATGGAGAGAGAGATAATAGTATAAAAATGATTATATCAGTTTCTACAAGACACGAAATAAGAAAATTTCTTATTTGATTAATAAATATGACATCGTTGGACACGTTTTTATTGACCATGCTTTAAATCTCAATGGGATAAAGGCAAAACTTATTTGGGATGTGGGTTTTATACAAGGTACAGGAACTAATGGACAGTAAAACAAAGGTTAAAATACGAGAATGGCATGAATTAAAGGGGATGAATGGGAAGGTTTAGTTATTAGGAAGCACTTCCTAACAATGAAATCTATTAGAGCAGGGAAAGTTATCCTGGGGGAATTATAGAAGTCTTATGGACCAAATCATTTCAGTTGACTAGACAAAATAATCAAAAATGGCATTAAAGAACAGTCCCTTAAGAGAAAGAGAGGGGAGGTAGGTTGATTAGATAACCTAATAGAGCTGTCTCTTCTTTAAATTTCCATAATCCTAAAATTCTATGAGGTTTTTAAACAGTTTGATCACTCATTAGAGAGACTTTAATTTCATTTTTTGTGACACATCTAATAGGTGAACAGCAGTGATTGTGCAAACTTGGCCCAGCTTGCTCTCTGGGGCTTGGATTTCTGGCAAAAAAGCTAACTCCAGCTCTAACATAAACCTCAGTGAAACCAATAATTACTAAGTAATCCCTGTGCAGAATTTCCATCAGACATTGAAGGCTCCTATCAGCACTGCTAATGTAGAATTATTGAAATTTAAATCAGAAGTGTTTATCCAACACTGTGATGAAATAAAGTGATTTGAGACTGCTTATCATGATTAAGGCTGCAGACTACAGGTTATTATTGGAATGCAAAAGAAGTATGAAATTAATGGGAAGAAAACCAAACATAGGTTCTTATTATCAGGGGGAAGAAAAGGATTGTATCTTGAATGCAATTAATGCACTCAAATGATTGTGTTATTTTTGTTTCCTCACATTAATAATTTTTACAACTGAGGACTGCCATAGATATGATATAATGCCTCAGGGCCAAATGACTTGCCAGAAGAAGAAAAATAAAGTCATAAACTATTTAAAATTACTCACAGGGCTTTATCTTTCAGATATGAAACTAATATCCATGATTAATGTAAAGGCCAATGAGAAATTGCGATAAGGATAGAAGGGCTACACTTTACATCCATACACTTTACATCCATACACTTTACATCCATATTTTAGAATGTGTGTACAGAATAATTATTAATACTTACATGCAAACATCACCTCAGGAAAATCAGTTTTTCCTAAGGCTTACATAAACTGAAAGTTTAATGGTGAAAGTTATTTGCTATGACATCTGCTGATGTATTCAAAAATTTTCTATCCATTATTTTATGGTCCGAATTTATAAAGATAGAGCCTACCAATATATAATTATTTGTATGTATTAAACACCATATGTATAACTTTTATTATGGCCAGTTGTCAGTGCTTTTCTGTTTTCACCAGTTCACAAGCCTTTAAAGTATTTGTGAATGTGCTTTTATTTCCAAATAGAAATGAGCTCCTCCAGCTTTGGGATTTCATTTATTCATATACTATACTACGTGACATAGCAGGCATTCTAAAATGCATGTTGCATAAAAGGAAAAGTTAAAAACAGGTCAAAAACAAAAACCAAATGATGACGCTTTTTTCCTTTTTAATCAGTGACATCCAAACTGTAGTGTAGAAGCTATTTTTAAATGAGCAACTTTTTTAAGACTTTGATCAAGTCCCAACAACCAATATTCTTTTTGCATAATATTGTGTAAGGCATTTTTAACTCACTTACTGCAGCTACTTTTATAAAATTTTTTAACTGTTTGATCATGTTAAGTAATTTACTCCTTTGTATTTAAGAATGTTCTGAATTTCAAATAAAGGTTTTCTTCATTATATCATTCACAGTTTTGCGAATCTACTACATGCGAGGCAGAGCAACACCCTCATGAAGTTTGCATTCTAATGAAAAGAGAAAAAAAGTAAGCAAGCAAACAAATAATTGGCTTGCAGGCAGTGATCAGCTCTCTGAAAAATACTAAAACACTATGGTGGGACACACATTTATATTCTGGCTGCCAAGAAACACTTCCCTGATGAGTAGGTACGTAAATAAAGGGAACAAGGAAAACCATGGAAATATGTGGAAGAACTGGGTTTCAGCAAAAGGACAGTAAATGAAAAGACCCTGAGATGGATACAGGCTTGGTAAGTAAGAACAGCAGTATTCTGTCCAGTATGGCTGAAGGGCCTGCAGTGAGGCAATGAATATTAAGAATTGAATCAGGGAACAAGTAAAGAGTCTGCTTATGCAGGCCTCATAGATTAACAGAAAACATATAATATACAAGGAAGACAGGAAGGGCATTTCTCTCACGAGTCAAAATGCATGAGCACTTCATATATGCCTATGCATAAGTACACACAAGTTCTATACTGGGTTAATTAATACATTTTCCATCCATTTAGTCATTGATTCTTTCTGGTAAACATGGGCATGTGTGATAGTCCTATAAATAAATTACAAAGGACAACATTGAAAGCTGACTGCACAATCAATATTAATGTCTAATGCAGATTCAAAAGGAAAAAAGAGGAGATAAAAAAGAACTGAACAAAAGATGCAGTTCCTGCTTGCTATTACCAATTATTGATATAGATCTTTGGAATAGAATTAGCCATTGAGGATTTTTTAAATTCCTGAGTATTGTCTATACCTGAATTAATAACCATGTATGTTTACCTTTTTAGGATTTAGTTAAAGTTGAAACACATATTGAAGAAGTTGAGAAGGCTCTCTTCCTTAAGGAGAAAAAAAAAGATACAGAAAAAAATAATTTCTATAGAGATATGGCTTTAAAGGAAATGTTTATATTGAAAAGAAGTCAAACAAATTAGGCAATTCAACTGTTGTATTTGCTTGACTCCTAGGGATAGGAGCAGCTATTCCTGCACTTTCAGCATACCGTATACACACAAGCCTTGCTTTTGTGCAAATCATGGTGCCTGCTTTAACTGTCTTACCTACTTACAGTTGTAATCTTTTCCAGAATTGCTTTCTGGCTCTAAAAGTATTAACTGTTAAATTTCCTGTCTTAGAGTAAATGTTGTTTCTACCACTTTATTCTTAGAACTTAGAACTTAACAAAGATTACAAAATGTTCCTGGGTGTCACCTTTCATAATAATGCATATAAAGTCATTGATTACAAATTTTTACCTGAAGGCCTGTGAAGGCAGTTCTACAGAGATAATTATAAAATAAAAAGATTAAAAGGTGAGTAAAAATGATTTTTGTAAATTTTATATATTGAGAGATTTCCTCCCTTAACATACTTCATTTATTTTATTTTGTTTTATTTATTTATTTTTTTTGAGACGGAGTCTTGCTCTTGTTGCCCAGGCTGGAGCACAGTGGCACGATCTTGGCTCACTGCAAACTCCGCCTCCCAGGTTCAAATGATTCTCCTGCCTCAGCCTCCTGAGTAGCTGGGATTACAGGCTCCTGCCACCACACCAGGGTAATTTTGTATTTTTAGTACAGACGAGGTTTCACCATGTTGGCCAGCCTGGTCTCGAACTCCTGACCTCAGGTGATCTGCCCACCTCAGCCTCCCAAAGTGTTAGGATTACACGCATAAGCCACTGCACCCAGCCAAAATACTTCATTTTATACCTGATACATACTTTGAGGATTATAATATTTGTATACTTATACGTTATATTAGACACTATATATTTAAAAGATTTGCTAGTTATTTATAGTATTGCATGTGCCCTGGGAATAGAGCTGTCACCTTATGTCAAAAGTCACACAGTTAGGTGAACAACAAAATTAGTTACTAAATTTAGTTTTAAAAAGAAAATTAAACCTTTAAAAATGTATGTTAAGCAATAATATTAACAGAACTGTTGAGGAAGTAATGACAAGGTAGGAGAGAATGTGATGAGACTAGAATTTAAGACATTGTTGGAGAAGTGTAGCAATTGACCAGTCAGTGGCAAATATGTGGACCACACAACTGGTTGATGAATATACACATTTTTAAAGGCTACAACTTGTGACTATTTATCTGGGCATGTAAACCCAATATTGAAACATAACATTAAAGGGATAATGCATTTATCTCTGGTTCAGTAAGAGTGTAAAGCATTGTTCTATGTGAGGAAGATGCCAGTTGACATCATCACGGCCTATAACTAAAGCTCTCTCTCACACAGTGTTAACATTGTATCCTTAGGGCACAAAGGTTGCATTTATAAGGTCCATAACAAGAGTTACACATTTTGATCTCTAGATATGAAATTTGATTCAGCTGACTGGATAGTATCAAGATAATTTATATTACATATTTTACATAGTACAAATTTACATAATACATATTTTGCTAAACCAATGATAAAACATCCCAAATAATAACAAATGTCTTGAAAAGTGGCAAATTACCATATCCATCTAAACCTATGTTCTACCAGAATTCACTGAAGCAGTCAACAACATAAGAAAAAGAAAAAAAAATTAAACTTTGGATTCTAATAGAAGTAATTTCTGCTAAATAGAGTATAGAAAGAACCAGAGGATGGAAAGGCCACTTTGATCCAGGGCTCCATGCATGATGAAAATGTTTGTTTGAGAAACAAGTGGAGCAGAACTCAGGGTACCATTAACAACATAATCTTGCAGAGATTATGGATGGGGGTTCTTATCAGCAACGCTTCAAACAGAAGCTTCGCAGAGCTTCCCATAATTTGCATGTAGAAAAGATCTCTGTGCCTGGCAGAAAATGAAGCACAACTGCAAGCTAGTTACTAAAGAGGGCAAGTAGACTAGAAAAAAAAGATGTGATCGGCCCTGCTAACTACTAAGTTATGAATGAAACTCTTTAGCAATCCAACATAGTGATTAGGAGTGAGTTCTAGCTACTAACTAGCTGTGTAACCTGGGTTAATGAGTTACCCTTACTAACATCAGTTTCTGCATTTGAAAAACAGGAATGATCACAATACTTACCTGTGGATACTGCCTGTATTAGTGAATACACTAAATGTAAAACACTAACATATATAAGATATACTATATAAGATATACACAAAGTGCTCAATAAATCTTACTTACGATTATTTTATACAATATCTAGAATGAAGCTTTTACTGCCCTTTTTCCGGCTTTATTCACAGGCAATTTGACATATGACCTAGCAAAGCAAATTATAGATAAACTGTTTTTATATTTTTTAACCTCGTTATAGGAGAGCCAAAATAAATCAAAACAAACATTTGAAAAGCCTATATCAACTCCCAATATTATACTGCACCTGTATGAATGAAAAAACAGAAAGTTCCCCAGATTTTTAAAAAAATTCTTTAGTCTAAAAGAAGGGGGTTACTCTGGAGATCAGAACCACTGCTTTACGACGAAATCAATGTCCTACAAGAAATTCCAAGCAACTTGAGAAAGTTTCTAATTTGTCTTCTCAACAGAATTCAGAAGATTCTACAGCTTTCACAATAGAAAAGTCATGAATTAGCAATGGTAGATCAGGAAAGCTTAGCTAGAGATTTTTTAAAGACTCTTTTAAAATTAAAAGTGTATATATATTATAATTTTTGTCCTAACTCTTCTTTTTCACCTAAAAGTTGGATATATTCTGTGTCCTACACACCATGACAAGGCAGTCTGTCAAAATTTTCTTGATTATATAAGTGTCTGCTTGGTTCTACTGGGCTTTGGATTAAAATTATATTAATTTTAGAGATAAATCTGAGCCAAGTTTTACCTTTATAATATTGACTCTTCTCATCCAGGGCAATGGTATTCAAAGTTTTTTGTACAATAATCACTCAGTAAGCATTTATCAAAGGAATACATAAATGTCACCCAATTATTTTTTGCAATGCTCTTAAAATGCATCTTAAACATTTATTTTCAAGGTTATTCCAAGTTATTTTGTACTTCTGGTAAATGAGATCATTTTCCTCTTAAAGAATTTTGTTTAGTTGTCACTGGTAGAAACGGATGCTGAACAGGACTTTTTTCTTTGCCCAACAATTGAAAACTGGTGAACGACCTGGAAACACAGGAGGCTTTAAGTATCTTTTATTCTAAAGAGAATGTGAAAGAACAGGGAGCAGACCCTGCTAGTATATTCCAAGGTTAGTGTATTAAATGTGGCAGAATTAAGTAAAATACCACCCATCTCTGCTACAAACCTACAATTTGTCTTCCTCTATCCCATTTCCCTAAGATGGCTGAAAAACACACTGAAATTTGCTTCTTAACTAGATGTTTCTGGAGACCAAAGGCTTGCTAGAGCTCATGGGATTAGGACAGGAAGTAACAATGGTATAGTGGAGTGAGGGCTCATGAATTGATAGGGACAAACAGGAACAAAGTTTCCCCCTCTAAGAAAGTGATAGATTGGGCCGGGCACAGTGGTTCATGCCTGTAATCCCAGCACTTTGGGAGGCCAAGGTGGGCGGATCACAAGGTCAGGAGTTCGAGACCAGCCTGGCCAACATGGTGAAACCCCAACTCTACTAAAAATACAAAAACAAAAATTTAGCCAGGCATGGTGGTGCGCACCTGTGGTCCCAGCTACTTGGGAGGCGGAGGCAGAAAAATCGCTGAAAACTGTCCCCAGAACACTTATCTTTCCTGAGGAGGTATTTCATTGGCAGAGACTCCAAGAGCATATGGAACCAGTTTTGAGCCACCACCCTCCTATCACATTTTAATATAACCTGTCGTTTGACATATGCCACGTCTCCTAGCCCTCTTCCGGCCATGCATTCCAGAAGATTTAGAAGGTATGGGGGAGGAGATAACCCCAAGCCACACCCCTACTGCATAACTGCGTAAGTTTCTGGATGTGTACATCCTGATTTTCCCAGAGTTGTACTTGGTACATATTAAGCATACAATAAATGTAATAAATATATGAAGGTGAAGAAAGTTGTTCAAGCTTTATCCCACACAGGAACAAACCTAGTCATCCTATTTTCATTTGGACAAGAGAATGCAAGAGACATTCCAACAGTGTGATCTAAAATAACATTTAACTTTGGATAGTAAAAGGATCATCCATTAGCACTGGCAAATAAAATATCTTTATTCTGACAAAGTTTTATATGAGTCTGAGATCATTTGCCAGGAAAGAAAGTTATATGTATTTAGATATGTCTTTAGCCATTGCAGTTTCTTAAATTTTACTAGCCTGAGAAATAGCTTAGCCACATTGAGCTCAGATAAATACTTCAATTATATTTCTAGCTAATGAATTTTGGTTTCATTTTTATTTTTTAATTCATCTGTAGTTTGATTTGATATATTTTTGACTAGTTTTTCAAATAGTAAGCCAACTGTTATGGTACCACTTAATGATTTTTTTAAATAAAAATAGATTTGAAATGCCAGTTAAATGCCAAATTTATTTTTCATTCTTCTACTTTGATTAACTGATCTGGCTAGTCTTATAATAGTATTATTTTAAGTATTGGATCTCTTAGTTTTCAATAATTGATTCAATAATTGGCCCTTATGATATCTTATCTAGTAGGAAATGTTTTCCAAAAGTGTTCTTGTCTTGCCTGTTTTTCTTATTCCTTGAATTTATTGTAGAGAACAGTAGTGGCTGGGTGTCGTGGCTCATGCCTGTAATCCCAGCACTTTGGGAGGCTGAGGCAGGCAAATCCCTTGAGTCCAAGAGTTCAAGACTAGCCTGGACAACACGGTGAAATCCCATCTCCACAAAAAATACAAAAAATTAGTCAGGCGTGGTGGCACACAGTTGTAGTCCCAGCTACTGTGGAGGCTGAGGTGGGAGGATCACTTGAGCCCAGGAGGTCAAGGCTCAGTGAGCCGAGATTATGCCACTGCACTCCAGCCTGGGAAACAGAGAGAGATCCTTTCTCTAAAAAAGTAGGCAGAGAGAGAGAGAGAAAGAGAGAGAGGAACAATATTAATCATTGTTAGAACCGTATTTAGTGCCTTGCACATATAATTGTTCCATATATGTGATACTGAACTGAACTTTGGGAAAATGTAAATAAAATAAATCTGTGCATGCATGTATGTGTGTATATCCAGATAGTATATATGTGTGTGTGCATATATATATATATATAATATTTTCTATGATATAGAATTTCATATACAATATGTAAAATAGACAATGTTATTTCTTTATAATATTCACACACAGGTATAAAAACTTGCATAAACTAGCTATGCAATGTTTGCTTTTTGAGTATTAGGCAAAAAAATTATTGTGGATAAGATACCACTTTGCAAAGTATGTTATTGCTCTATATGAGTACATGACCAAGACTGCTTTAAGTTTTTGTTTCAAGTTCACAAACAGACAATGGACCTTTCTGCCTATGATAGAAAACCGGTAAATAAAGGAAAACCTCAAGCCAAGGCTTTCTGTGGTAGACGGTGCTAAAATGAAAACCTGACCACTCTTTGTCAATCCAATGTTACTTATTCTCTGCCTTGTATGAGAGCTTCTGATAATTGCTTTTATAGACAATTCACTTTACCTCTCAATTTGGTAATTAACCTGATTATCTCATTTAATTAGCCAACTACCCAGCCTACTCATTTTCACAGCCCTATTGTAGGTAAGATCATTCACTGCTCTTCTCAGTTTTCTCCGTAATGAAATAAAAATTCTAATCTCTCAGCATTAATGGAAAACCTCCTCTCATTGGTGGTTTTCCTTATCTGACTTATCTGACTGGTGAGATCTGGAGAAAAAACCTGGTTGATTTACCAGGAGTTGCAGGTTTCTTCTCTTGCCTTTCCTCTGCTATGCAGTAAGGTGCTCATTGCTGGACCGGGCTACCCAAAGCTGTCTAGGTCTGATTATATCTGAGGGAATGAGCTCGTGGGGTGGGGAGGGGTCAGGAAAACTGTTACTATTCCAAGCTGATTAGCCAAACTCCAGCTACATCATTGTGGCCCATGAAACTGAACTGTGTCATGCTTTTAGCTTTCCAGACCTTTTTCCATCTGACAATGATACAACTTTTGTCAGAAAGGTCACCTAGCAGTGGGCCAATAATCAAGGTATCTGACAGACATTTCATACCCCTTTTCATTCTTAAATGCTGATGTCATTAAGAATTGGCATGGTCTTTTAAAAATGTACAGAAAAAGATTCATGACCCCACCTCCTTCACCTTCTCCTGATCCATACACTTTAGTAAAGGCAATTTGGTCACAGAATATGGCAGTTTCTCCAAAAGATTAATTTTTTTCTTGATTGTCTCATGGGTAATAATCAAAATAAAAATGGTTGAAGAGTTATATCAGTCTAGTTTTTAAATTTGGGATGCCACCATGCATTTTTTGGTCATGATGCAATTTTTTGCCCTTAAAAACAACCTCAAGCCAGCCTGGTAAGTACTCAGACTAGGTGGCAACCTGGACCAAAGGTGGTCTAAGGAACTAACACTTAATTCTTGTTCAGCCACCTGAATTGTCTTGTTGGGTTGTTATTGTTCTCAGGTCACAAGGATAATGATCACTAACTGAGTGCACTGATCCTGAGTCTGTGATAGAGGCCCACATGAGGCAAGGTAGGAGAGTGTAATCCACCTCAACACATTTTATTTAAATGCCCTTATCCCGCCGAGTGTGGTGGCTCACCCCTGTAATCCCAGCACTTTGAGAGGCTGAGGCAGGTGGATCACCTGAGGTCAGGAGTTCAAGACCACCCTAGCCAACATGGTGAAACGCCATCTCTACTAAAATACAAAAATTAGCCAGGCATGGTGGCATGTGCCTGTAGTCCCAGCTACTTAGGAGGCTGAGGCAGGGAGAATTGCCTGAACCTGGGAGGCAGAGGTTGAAATAAACCGAGATTGTTCCACTGCACTCCAGCCTGTGTGACAGAGTAAGACTATGTCTCAAAAAAAAAAAAAAAATTTAAATGCCCTTATCCCTCTTCCATTTGACACTCCAGATGCAAGATCTGGGTGCAGGTAGATTATAATTGAGGAAAAGTTGAGTTTATGGGTACTAGAATGAGACACACTGATGCTGGGGGAGTACAGAGAGAGCACCAACTCCAACACCTGGGGAGGAAACACCTTAGAACCCAAGAGGGATAGAGTGGGGAGAGACACTAACGATCTTTTTGTCTTTCAGAGCCACCCTGGTGCCTTCCTCACAAAGAAACACATCCCAGTGTCCCAGTGCATCTCTCCTACAGGATAGCAAGCTGTTTAAATTTAAACAACTCTTAGATCTGCCACTCTTCACCAGGTGGTGGTGGCCATGACTTGATCACCAGTCTCTAAGTTTACCAAGGAGTCAATCAGAAACATTAAGAGGCAACCCTAGCTCCTGTAGCTCCAATGTAAAACACCTGTCACCACCTCTAGATGTCTTCTCATCTCCATCCCCATTTGTATCAGTGGATCATCCCATGGGATAGATAAATGCCACCTGGTAGTTGGTATAGACAAATATTATAGGTCAGACTGCTGTTCTCAGGTTATCCCTCCAAAGACAAAGTCTTAGCTGAATTGGAGACCTTAAGGTTTACAACCTAGCCAGGAAGCCACATCAGAGGCATTGTCAACCTGTGTCCTTGACTGATGTAGGTCACACATTGGGTGAACGACTATTGTAATTAACATTTTCCCTCCAAGGGTGCTATGTGTGTCACCAAGATTGTACTATTTCTGTGAATGCTAGGCATTAACTTTCTTCCCCCCAAGCCTGCTGTAACCTGTACCCAAGGAATGGTAATAAGAGCCCTTCAAATGTTTAATGAAACGCCACTAATCAATCCTGTAGTCCTCAGATCAATGTGGAAATCTCTCTGGAAAAGGCCACTATTCAAGGAGCTTCCAGGAGGAAGAAATGACTGAATGTTTCTGTGCACTCTGTGGGTGGTTATCTTTATAACTGATACTATCCAATTAGAAATAGTGATAATAAATGTGTCCCTGATTTTAGGTGAAATTATCAATGACACCATTATGGAAACAGAGGCATTTATGTCACCTCAACTCACTGGCAAGACTCTTATGCAGAACAGTATTGTCCTATGCATCCGTCTTTGAGACCAAGGTGAAACCCGTGGAATCTAATATACCCTGGTGTACCTGGATTAGTTCCCTTGGACAAGAGGAAAGGTCAGTGCGAGACTTAAAGAGAAAGTTACGTGTCTTTTTAAGGTATATTTTAAAATTTATAGGATTTGCTCAGGTAGCTGAATCTGGAAACCTGAGGAAGGCAGACATGGTTGAGGTAAATAGTGTAGGTTAGTGCCATCCTGCTGATTGGAGTCATGTTGATGGTAGCCTTACACATGATGTGAAAATCTGAGTGCAGCTAAGAATATGTAGGGCCACAAAGTGTTTTTTTCGGGAGAGGCAGTCTTCCAGGTCTCTTAGCATCCAGTATGTTATTGCTGAATACGCCAGACTTCAAGGCTTATTTGTCTCTTGATACTTAGCAGTTTTTCTAGCTAGTCACATAAGCAACTAAATAGGTCAAGTCTACCAGAGTATGACAACCATGTAACTGTGTGCTCCCTGGTGGACAGGGAATCTGCTTGTTTGCCATTTGGCATAATGTTTGATCCTTGCTCAAAAAGTTCTGGGCCCTTAGTCCTGGATTCCTCAGCTGTGAAGCAAACCCACTGCTTGTGTAACATCTGTCTGGTTCCATTGCATTGCTCCATTGGTACTTGAGAGGCAAAGGAGACAGACACAACTTTGCTGATGCTCATACTGCTCACTGTGTCATGAGTAATAACATCCCTTATCTCTGACCCAAGAGTCTTGTGTCTTCTGTCAGTATTCATGTAATGGAGGAAGGCTGCCTTTTCACTTGCAAGTAGAGTAAAATCAAATCTCAGAACCTTCACAATTCTCGAGAGGAAACAACATACATTTTGAATGAGATAATTGTACTCTATTTAAGCATCTCACTCGTTTTCAAAAAACAAATGGAATATATCTTTATAATTTGACAAAAAGCACACTACCTAGAAAGTAGCCAGACTCGGACTTGAACTAGTATATGAATGCAGAACATATTTTTGGCTATTGTCTATGCTTCCCTATATGTTCATGTAGAACATTGAAACATTAGAATATTTTGCATTTTGTTTATAAAATTTCCATATCTGTCTTATGTAATTCTGGTTATAACTCACTAAATATAATTTTTTTAAATCCTATTTTCTAAATTGGAAATCACTTCATGTAAATTTGATGAGTCTCATCATTATTCTTTTTAATTTTGTGTGATATATGCACATTCTTAAACTAGAGATTTAATTGTAATATGCCCATGCTACACATCATAATCTATCATTTGCATATAACAGTTAAAGAGAGCTGATTCAATATTTAAAATAATTTAAATATACTTCTATCATAGCCCTTTAACTAAAAAGTTCCACAAATTTAGATGCCAGGAATTTGTTAAGTAAAAATACAATCTTTTAGCTCCTTTGCTCCAAACTGTAATTCATATGATGTGCTGACTTTAAAATTATCCCTGCACTACCATTCAATAATTAACCAGAAGGAGAGAAAAGCAAATTTAAAATCATTTCAAAATGTTATTGAAATGTTTTCTGAAGAGAAAAAAATACTTCACAAGATTTCTCCTTCATTTCAGCCCGGCGTTCTTCTACTCCCTCTGAAGCTTTTGTTCCTATCAAGGCACTTACACAATTTCAGCAATCTGCCTACCCCAGGCTGATGGCAATACTTCATCAGCACAAGAAGAAATTATCTTGCCTCAAATTAGCCCTCCCTTTAGTCTGTTAGGTCACAATTTGTACCAGAAAAAAACCTGTTTTTTTTCTGTAATATTTCACAAGTTATTAAATTCACCTCTTTTGAACACAAACTTATAGATTGCAACTTTTCAATTCCACACCATATTCCAATTGCTAAGTTCACTTCTTAGGAAAATTGTTCATTCTTCTCAGGATTTCATTTGTCAGTCCTTCATTGTGTTTCTTATCCTTATATTCTAAGATCTGATAATGGAAATAAATTTCTGGAATATAATCCATTTGTAATGTGGTGTTCTCTATAATTTTATATTGAAACACATTTTAATATAAACAACTCAAATGATGTAATAATAAAAAACTGATAATGTGTAATTCTTACTGTAGACTATTTTTGTTTAATGTTTACAAAGTTTAGGAGCATGTCAGAGGAAAATACTTCCTCCAGTTGGGAACTCAGCTTTGGGTGATACTGACCCAGCTTTCAACATCAGCACCATTATTTTTAGTGTATGAACATGGATAAGCTCCTTAACTCTCTCTGTCTTGGAGTATCTGTCAATACAATGTAGATAATACCTACTTTACAGGGTTGGATGCTATATAAACAGCACCTTGCCTAGTACTTGACACTTACTTGTCACAGAATAAGTCAGAGCTCTTATTACCTGATGAGAAATTCAGCAGAAAATTCAATAGGAATACAGTAGATGGCTTCTGCTTCATTTTTACTCACCTGACTATTTCCTCCCATTACAACAATGTGAAATATCTTCTAAAACAATAGGGAAATCAAGAAATTTTGCAAATGCTGGCAGTGGAGGAAAATAGAAAAGTTTGAGACTGACAAGAAAATCAAGTGACCCGGTATCAGAAACAGCTCAATCATAAATATGTTTAACTACTTTTTCACTAAAACTAGCACTTCTAGTGAAGTTGAAACTTTTATCATTATTTTCTTACAGACATTTTGTACACCTGCACCTTTGGATTCAACATTTACCAACATTCATCGGGGATGTCCTATGTATCGCAGGTTGTGCCATTTTACATGTATTATATTTCTCCTGTCTGAAGACTACTCGTTGAAACAGATATTATTTTTATCTATTTAAGCATTTTTTAAATCATTTTATTAGCTATGTCTTTATAATAGCCAATAACATTTTAGGACTCCAAATTTTGAAATGGCCTTCAAAATACTGAAATCATTTTTAGAAATATAAAACCTTTTTAAAAAATAAGCTTGAAAAACTTGTTAGAATGCATTGAAATACTCTAACACAACTGTTAAATTTTGTAACTTTCCTTTGCTCTTTTAAATTTTTTCCTTCAGTTCAAAAATTATACTTAAAATGTCATAATTTTCTGCATCCAGAATATTTTTATTCACACACAGCCTAATCAGCGTTACTCATTTTATATTAAGCTTTAATTCAAATTCAGCATTAATCTTGACTGCATTTCATCTCCATACCACAATATATTTTTATTTCTGTATGCAGATTGTCAGTGAGATGTTCTAATTAACTATTTTTATTCTTATTTCAACTTCATCAGAGAAAAAATAAATGTCAACATACCATCATGTAAATTAGAACTCAGAATTTAAAACTTAGGTTTTTGAAATAATAATTAAAGGGATACAATAATTTGGTTTAAGCTTCATTATACTAGATTCTTAACTCTGTGTAGGAAAGAGTGTGATTTATCAACCTTTATTCTTTTGCCATCATACTTGAAACTGCCACTAAATATTTTATAAATTAATATAATATATTGAATCATTATCAATTATTTTCTGTGTGTTAGTGCGTGTGAACTATTTTAATTTAAAAATAACATTATAAAAGTCCAAGGTTTGAGAATGATTTTTAAATTATTCCAATTCTTATTTTTTAAAACAGGTGCTCATTTAATTCAATTCTAATTTCATGATATAACAAATTTACATTTCTTAGATCTATGAGAAAATATAGGAAATGAATACTATTTGCTAAAAAGTAGCTTTTTTGGCTTCTTGAGTATTACATTCTCTGAATATGAAAAATCCATTTAAAATAAATTTTAAAACACTTTTTATTGATAGAATCTGCAAAATTTAAGAAATATCCAAATTTGTTCCCACTGTGTCATGGAGATCATCTAAATAACCTTAAGCGACAGTAAGTTACAATTTAACATTGTTCTCATCTATTTCCTTAATCTCTTTTCTTTTCATCATTAGTTCCAATAGTGGAATTACATTACATTATTGGTTTCAGAGCCTTGAAGATACCATTTAATTTACTGTTAGAAAGTGGGTAGGTTAATTGCAAAATCTAGAATCTGTAAACTATTTTACTCAATCCATACAGGCAATTCCTCCATCCCCTCAAAAAAAAAATGTGTAGTTCATTTTAAAAGCCAACTAAAAGTCAATAAATTATCCGTATCACCTTCAGTTAGTTACCTTATAAAATGGCTGTGCTGCTATGTATCTCACTATAAAACTGTTAATCAACATATTATAAATATATTTCACATATCTGTGAAACTATGAGACTGAATGAGATAGAATTAATTTCTTATAGCCATGAGTTATTATGTATATGAAAGAGAACTGGGAATGTAAATTATTTTATTATAGGAAAGTGTAGTTATGCATATGTATCATGCAAAGGCACAGTTGATCTTTTAGTCAAAATGTCAATATACTTAAAAGATACAATCATGATTAAAAGCATGCAACCCAGATTTCCTTTAGTCTTTCTCCGTGGCTCGCTATTTATTCAAAAACACTATGAAAATATACAGCTGTAAAAACTGGCAATGTGAAATGAACTACATGTGAGATAATACAACCAAGTCATGGCAGGGACCATAATATCAGGAAACGATAATACTGATTAAGATCCCTAATCCAAGCCATGGGGAACCAAGCTCCCTCACATGACCACACCTATGTTCCCATCTATGGAACATTACAGCACATTTTATGTCACTGTAAACAACTGGGTGACAAGCAAGCTACAGGTAGCGCATAAGAGAAAACTTGTTGTCTTAGAAAAAAAAAAACTCCCCAAATCCTTAAAAACCTAAAAAAAAATTACATAATGGGCAGCAGGTTCTTTTACCAAAGATATATAAACATATAGACATTACTCCTGACTCACAATTACAGTTAGAACCAAAGAGCCAGAGCAGGAGAAAATCCCAAAGCAGTAGTTCTACAGATGCAAACAACATTAATAGCAAGAAAATGAGATGGAGGTTAGGCTAATTACTTTTGTTGTTGTTGTGTTTTGTTTTAATTCTAGTTGTAATAAGAAAGTAGGAAGACCAGTTGCAGTGGCTCACGCCTGTAATCCCAACACTTTGCCAGGCCAAGGCAGGTGAATCGCTTGAGCCCAGTAGTTCGAGACCAGCTTGGGCAATATGTCAAAATCCTGTCTCTACTAAAAATACAAAAATTAGCCAGGTGTGGTGGCACACACCTGTAGTGTCAGCTACTTGGGAGACTCATGTGGGAGAACAGCTTGAACCTGGAGGGTAAAGGCTGCAGTGAGCCCAGATCACCACTGAAATCCAGCCTGGGTGACAGAATGAGACCCTGTATCAACCTGTCTCAAAAACAAAAACAAACCAAAAAAAAGAGAAAGAAAGAAAGAAAGGGAAAGAAAGAGAGAGACAGAGAAAGAAAGAAAGAAAAGAAAAGAAAGAAAGAAAGAAGGAAAGAAGGAAAGAAAGAAAAGAAAAGAAAAAAGAAAAGAAAAGAAAAGAAAGGAGGGAGGGAGGAAGGGGGCCTTCCAGGCCCTTGGAAAAAATGAGGTAGGTAGAAAAAATTCCTTCCTGGTACCAGAAGCTAACAATTGATACATGTGTTCTCTTTCAAAGATTAGGAAACAGAAAAAATTTACTAAAACTATGGGATTTATAAATAACAGTAAATAAAATTAAGAATAAATATGCTAACATTCACAGAGTGCTTAATCATGTTTTTAGATATTAACCTCCATTCACTCATTTACTCCTCCTGAAGCCAGTGGTTATTTCTATTTTATAGATCAGGAAAAGGAAAAGGAAGACCAGAGAAATTAAGGTAAGTGGCTTTCCCTGAGTCATGGAGCTGACAAAGGTCAGTCAAAGTGGGTTTTAAACTCAGGCATCTGGCTCCAGAGTACACCAGGTTAATACTACACTGTACCTGCTATATCCAAGGCTTTAAAAAAGTGAGACTGTCTAAGATAGATGCTAAAACAACTAATAGATGTCTCCCCGACGTCACATGGGAGCCAGAGGGGCAGGAGGCTCATAGGGATAGGAAGGCCAAGGAGCTTGTTCTTTTGATGGCGATGGTACCGCCAAGAATTCTGCATTGTGTAGCCATCTTCCAGTTATACTTTTATATACTGTACTTAAAATATAATCTATACAATAAGGAGACTCTTTCTCTAAAGGTACTATAGAACAGCACAGCAGTGACAAATATTGTTTAAATGGGATTTAAAATGCATTTCTGAAAATAATTGTTTGGTGTCATCAAAAAGTGTCAAGATCAATGAAACAGGAAAATGAGCCATAAGGAAAAGACAAGCAAGGATGAACAAGATAGTATAAAGAGGTTGGCAGAAATAAGAAAAAATGCAAAACATTCTAAATACTAAGGCTCAATTAAAAGTCATATTGAAGGCAATAAAAAGTAGAATTTAAAACATAAAATTGATGATGTGAAGGAAAAACATAAGTGCTCTGAAAATAAAGAAAGTCACTGGAAGAAAAACTACAAGAAATGTGATAGGTGTGGGAGAAAGAGAATGGAGTGCCGATCTCTACATCCCGTCCTCCATTTCACAAATACTTAATGAGAATTTACCTAGGACTGTCCAAAATTGAAAACCTATTACCTTTAAAATCACGTCCATATTTTTACAGAATTTATAAACTGAAAGAAACGGAACACTTGACTTCATTTAGCTTGAATTTTAATGCCTGCAGAGGAAACCAGAACAGCCCAAACTATATTCAAAGTTATTAATAGTAAGCTTTCTAGAGCTGGAGGCAAAGAGGTCACAAACCTATAAATCAAAATAAGTCAGTGAAGACCAGACAAACATCATGCAAATGGACCAACATGTACATCTTGTTTTGAGCATCAAGGGTAATGAAAACACGCTCTTTAGTGTAGAGTCCAGATGTTTCCACTGATAAATCCACCAAATTCCTTCAAGACTTGGTACAAATGTCATCTTGTCTTTGGCTCTGCCCTGACCATCCTATTTGAAATTTCAACCCACTCTCCAGCTAGATCCCACTCGGTTCTACTTTTACTTATCCTTTGCACTTAAAATCTGCTAACGTACTACATAATTTCTTACGAATTATGACTAGAATGTAAGCTTCTTGAGGGATGGGACATTTTTAATGCTGTCCAGGTATAAATTCCAAGAACAGAGAACACTGATGAGTATTAGGATATCAACAAGTGTTCGATTTATTAAGGGGTGAATTACCTAGGAAGTGGGTGGAGAGCAGGCTGCACACACACAGGAGGAAACAGCAGGCCTCAAGCACTTACACTTAAAGAAGAACCTGAAATATGGTTGGAATGGTAGATTGGAAGAGGGACCTGTATGCTAAGTCTGGAGATAGTGGCTATAGATTGAGGCTTTGGGCTGTCCAAGGTAAAAGAAAAGGGGTGGTTGCTTCTAGCATGCAAAGCCTTGGAAACATCTTGGAGTTGATTAGACCATTGACTTCTCCATCCTCCTCACCCTAGACCCCACCACCCCTCCTCCTTCCTCAGCATTCTATCAGGAATTGCTTTAAAATTTTACTCTTGTGGCTGGACACAGTGGCTCATGCCTGTAATCCCAGCACTTTGGGAGGCCAAGGCAGTCAGGAGTTGAGACCAGTCTGGCCAACATGGTGAAAGAGCATTTCTACTACAAATGCAAAAATTAGCTGGGCGTGGTGGCGCACACCTATAACCCCAGCTATCCCAGCTACGGGGAGGCTGAGGCATAGGAATCATTTGAACCTGGGAGGAGGAGGTTGCACTAAGCCAAGATCGTGCCACTGCACTCCAGCCTGGGCCACAGAGCAAGACTCTGTTAAAAACAAAAAACAAACAAACAAAAAACTTACTGTTTCTTTTCTTTTGACTGTGGAGTTGCTAAATTCATAGAATTACATACGTAATTCTCACAGATCTACCATCTAATGTACTCATCCCTGTTTCTCTCCCACTTCAACACACACCATATACACACACCTGACACACCACACACACTACACACCACATACACATACCACATGGCATACACACACACACACACGGCATGCACATACACATCACACACACTATACACACACCATCAGTACTATTCATAACAGTCAAGATGTGGAAACAATGTTAATTTTCTATCAATGGATAACTGGATGAAAACAGTGTGCTATAAACATACAACAAAATAGTCTGCCTTTTAAAAGAAGGTAATTTTGCAATATGCAACAACATGGATGAACCTTGAGGACATTATGCTAAGGTAATAATCCCATTACAGAAGGGCAGACTACCTTTTTAAAAATATTAAATGAAGTTGCAGGGACTAACATGGTTCACTTATCTTAATGCTCAGGTTTCAATATTCACAGACTCTATTTTTTTGTCACTGATATATCCCGATATATCCCAGGACCCAAAACCATTCTATGTTAATCACTGCGACCTTTTGTATGTTTTGATAACGAGAAAGGCTAGTCATCCCTTAATATTCTACTTTGTTTTAAGAAATATCCTGGCTGTTCTTGCACAGTTTGTCTTCCAGATAGACTTTAGAATAAACTTGACAAGTTCTCAGAAAAAAAAGCAACCTGTTGAGATTTTGATTGAGATTGCACTCAATTTTACATGTATTTGGGAAGAGTTGACATATTTGAGGTATAGGACGTTTAGTCTAGGAATCTTTTAAGTTTAACCATATGTCTTTCATTCGGTGTTGTAGTGGGCAGGAGTGCTGTGGCTAGGGAACAGACTCTGTGCGTGTGTGTGTGTGTGTGTGTGTGTGTGTGTGTGCGGTGTTCGAATGATGGGTATTTGTGGTATAGGTACATTTAGAGTGTGTGTAGTGTGTATATGTGCATGGTATGTGTGGGGTGTATGTGAATGCTTTGTGTACATGTAGGGTGTGTAAACATGTAACATTGTTTCCACATCTTGGCTCTTATGAATAGTGCTGACGGTGGTTGCCAGAGGCTGGGAGGACCAGGAAATGAAGAATTGTTCAATAAGTATAAAATTTCAATTATGAAAAATGAATATGCTTTAGAGATCTGCTGTAGAACATTGTGCCCACAGATAACAATACTGTATTCTACCCTTAAAAATCTGTTGAGAGCATATCTCATGTTAAGTACTTTTATGATAATAATGCAATATAATAATAATAAGTAGAAACAATCTGAATGTTCAATCTAAAGGGAATGGTTTTATAAATCATCATATGTTCCATAAAATATTTTATATAGGAAGAGTGTGCTCAATGTAAATTTAACTTCTAAGGAGAAGGCAAGTTACAGTAGGACATATGTACATATGTGATTTTATATGAATATATTTATATATAGTGATTATGTTTATATGTATATCCTTATCACACCAATATACATACATACATATATCTTTTTATTTTATAAAATAATAACACTGAAAACAGCAACAATATCAAAACTAAACGTGTTTGCTTCTATGCATAACCATGGCTAAAATCATCAGATACCACACTAAACTATAGACAGTGGGGTTTGCCCTGGAAGAATTTCACTTCTTATTTTACGGAGTTTTGGTTTATTAAATATTTTAAAAAGAAGACATTTCATGTTTTACTTTTATAATTAAATGTATATTTGTGCATGTATCATAGTATCAAATAAAAGGCTTTTTCCAAAAAATCTATTATCTAATTTAAGGTTCATATCAACTTTTGTGAAACACAACCACACATTAATACCTCAGTTTTACAAATGAGAAAACAAGTCAAAAGATGCTCCACAGAATGTAACTAAAATGCTTCGGCACCAGACAAGTGACAGCTGCCCACATTTGCCAAACACCTCCCACATTAGATGGTGCATTGTGTCTCTCAGTAAACGCTCAATGGCATGAATAAAAGACAGATTGTTTCTAGAGACCAGTAATCTTAACATCTAATTTGAGGCACTTTCTCCTCCTACACCTTGTACAGGTGAGCATTTCGCTAGACATTGCTCAATAGGTATGTGCTAAAGTCTCTTGGCCAGCAATCCTAGAATAGAATGGGCTACAATGAGTCTAGAATAAAATGGGCTGGCTCAACCAGCTATAGCCACTGATTTTGATGCAAGTATTTTGAAAAAGATTTTTTTACCCTTAAGAGAATATTTTATAAAATTGAATGATACAGCTTCTTCTAATAAGCATATTCCGTGACTCTTAAGCACCCTTCCAAATTTAAATTAATAAATTGCAATAATGCTAACAAGGTAATCAGCTAGTATTCTAGGTAGTCTACTTTAAATGTTGTCAACATCAGGTCATTCAACTCTGTTATATAGCATACTTTTTCATAAGTATCACAAAAAAAACCCTTTAAAACATGATTTGAGTTCAGTGACTCAAACATTAGTTAGCAATATAGACTTCTACACTGCCTTCTCAAATGCTAAATTCTTTGCCTGCATTTGATACAAAAACATGACCCAGGATCCTCAACTGAGTAATGCCCAAAAGGTATCGCTTCATTTAGTAAGGTGGTCAGGTGTTTAAAAGATACAAAGCAAACAATTATGTCAATATAACAGTGAAATCATTGAGATATAATAATAAAGGAAATTGGAATACTTCAATAGTGTCTAGACAACATAATTAGAAAACTGCATTTTTAATTTTGTATGAAGGGGTATTTTATGTCCACAGAAATCCACAGAATCTCTTGAATGTCTACCCAGCTTGGCATTTCTTCTTTTCTGACTGCATCTTCTCAGTGCCATTCCTAGAATGAATCCTTCTACTGTACAAATAGACACTGTACCTCAGCAATAGACCTCAATTCCTTTAATTCCTCAGATAACCTCACACGATTACGGAATTTAGCACTGCATCCCAACCTTCGTTAAGACACTCTTCACAGTTTGCGTTTTAATCTATCACTCATGTTATATACATGATAGTTAAAGAAAGGCACATGAGGAAATTTGCAATCTAGTAGGGGGAAAGAAAAGAACACTAAAACTATGGCCCAGGATTCTGTGAACTATTCTACAAGGATATTCCAAAGATGCCCTTTTCTTAGAGTTTGAGTTACTGTCATTCATACTCCACTGGGGAAATCCAACTCGTCAAAATCCAATTTCCCAAGTAGAAATTCAATTATTTCCTTACGCTGTGATGATGCTTTGGGCTCCACACTGATTTAGCAAAGGGGATAAAAGGGAAAGCACTTCACAAAGAAATGCAAAAATAAAGCAGCAGGTATTCTTACATGACTGAAAAAGAGGCCTCCTTTTCCAGTGTACCTAATAAAAATACGCATAATTTATTTCATCTACAAAGCTACCAAATCAACATGAAACATTAAATACTTTAAGCCTATTAGATTGACTCTGGAATATTAAATAAAAATGCCCTTCGTAAGCTAAAGACTTGAAAATTCCATTAAATGTGGAAACAATGTTAACTGCAACAGATTACTGATTTAAAATCTCCAGTTTTATAGAACATAGATTTTCCTCTAAAACTGTGGAAAATACATCATAATTATGAACCAAGCCCAATTAAGGAGTTACAAGAGGGTCAGTAAACATCATAGATTTCCTTAAGACATAAATGGAAGAAGAAAAAAATTAAAATTGAGACAGATTCTTGATAGCGAAATCAACATTTTTAATATTAAAAATCTAAATGTAATCTAGTAAAGAGTCATTCTTTCAATCAAAATTGTTTATTGAGGAGCACTGATTTGTGCCAAGGGATATGTGCATTGCTGTTGAACAATGTATACTTGTTTGCTAAATTAAAACAGCATTCATATAGAAAATAAAAAGAAATTATGGCTGTTTAAAAAGTAGATTATTCAAAAAGGTGGAGGTTCAATCCAGTTATTCCAAGATACATGTAAATGTTACTAAGAGAACAGTTTTCCTTGATGAAGATTCCTTAATGTCCTGTGTAACATTTCCCCCTTAGTATTACAGGTATATATCCCTCATTTCACTGTGAGTTTCCTGATGGCTAGAATGTTGTCTTATTCTCATTTTTATGTCTAATTAAACAGTGCTTGGCATACACTGTTGAGTATTAGAAAAGAAAATTCTTCTTTGTTAACACGAGTAGTAGGCTTTCTTTTAAGGATGTTCAGTACTTCATCAGTCACTAGTATTTATTGAATACCTACTATGGCCTCAGCATTGTGCACAAACATCTCAGTATGACTAGTCACTAAACTATCTTTGATTGAAAATGAGAAGTCAGATAATTCATGTATTTTTCAACAATGTTTTGTGCTTCACATAAATGGAAGTATTCATCAAAAGTAACTATCACACTTGTTCATCAATGAGATTCATTATGACTTTGAGGGCAAGATGCCATTTGGCAAGTTAATCTTCTTTGCTGGGGAAATGAAAAGACAGAATTTTTCTGTGAGCACTCTTCTAGATATATTTATTCCTGGATCTCTTTCTCTCCTCCACTCAGTCATACTGCAACATATTGCATGCTGCTCTAACTTGGAACAAGCACCAACCTCAAAATTCAATTTGGAGAATCTTAAAAATAGACTGAACATATCATGACAAATCAAACGTTTTGAAATAACACTGTTGGCAAGGTGGTTTCTACTTAAAATTGAAAATGTTAACATTTTGCAAGAAGGTGAATTAGTTTCATTGGCAGATATTTTTAAAGAACATTGAAAGGAAATACTGAATAAGAATAAAAGTTTTAACGTAAAATCATTTCTCTTAAAGGAAATAAAAACATTAAAGAGAAATGACAAGAAAATACATGTCACTTTTTATCTGGCAAAAACAACTTTATCTGACCAGCTTCCTAAAAATAAAGCAATTGAAATTCTTACCCAATAGCCCAAGACATAAAATTATAGAATATATTAATCTGATTCTTTAGTTAGATTTGAAATGTCATCTCCCAATTCAGCAAAACCAAACTTTTCTCATAGATTAGCTTTGAGGAGATTCCAGACACCTCCACATTACATTGCTGAAAGTGAACACATAACAGTCCCTGAAAATAGCAAGGCATTTGCTTCAGGAAAAAAAAATATATATATACCATAATGTTTGGGCTCAGAATCTACAGTACAAGTGCCTAGAGGCATTAAATCCAATTACATATATTTAATCCATAGCCATTCCCTCTGATACAACTCACTCATTTATTCATTCAACCAGCAACTATTTAAATGCCAGGCTCCCTGTGCTACTTGAAGAGCTTACAGAGAAACATATTAACGGTTAGTCATTGGTCTCAGCAAAACTTAAACCTATGTCCAGTTTATGTGTGTATGTGTGTTTATCAGAAACTTCTAGTGGCTAATACTTGGCGAAACTAAAATTTTAGAAGTGTTTGTGTTTTAAACTACAGATACAGCTTTAGACAACACTTTAGAAAATTTAATTTGATAAGGAATATTTTTTGAAGAATTGAGGGCCATGTAGTCATGGTAAGCCCAAGCAATCACACTTTTCTGATACACTATTGTCCTGGAAATCATATTTTTTGAAAAAGATGTTAAAAGGAAGACCACTCATACAGTGGGGTGTTCCTTGTTTTCATCTGTTTGTATATAGGCCTGCAGTTTCTAGCTTTCACCATAAATTGACAAGCATGTTCCTAGAAGGCACAAACCTGATAGGGTTTATGCAGTAACCTTTGATTATTCAAAATATTCACTGTCATCAGTGAATATTTTCCGGTGAGCAAAGAGAAGTCGTGAAAAGAAGATTTCAAGTATTGGATTGCCTCAAAGAGAGGGAAAAAATACAGTAAAAACTCGCCAATATAATATAATCTTTATGACCTATGCTTGCACTTTCCATGAACCCACTTATTTCCACAAAATCTTGAAGTCTTTCACTTTTGAATGTCATGATGTGAATACTTAAAAACTATACTATATTCGGAGGGAAAAAATTTTAAATCAGCCTGTGGCCTAAATTTATTCTGTTCCCATAAAACAAACCATGTAAAGAAGCACTTTCCAATGTGCTAATTAGTACAACTCTGGCCTTTCTTTCAAATAAAACTGTTGTAGACATCTTTTTTAAGATTCATCCTAGGGATTTGTGATAAACATTTATCTTTCTCCTACCTCCATGGTCTCCATTTATAATCACGAGACAACTTTGTTCAGAAAACAGTTTGCCAAGTGGATTGAAGTATGGTTGACAGCATGATAAACTAAGCAAATATTTTTAGGTAGAATAGTCATTTCTTTAAAAACACCCAAATAACTAAAACAGAAAACAATAAACAAGGACAACCATTCTGTGAGGCCATAGATCTCTCTGCCTTTGGGCTTGGTGATGAAAAAGTAGAGAATGATTCTCCTGGCAAACACAATCACATACTAGTGATTGATTGAATAATCTGCATGGCTCCTAAGAGGAGTCTGTTGAAATTCTACCCTACTTCAATACGTGTGATATGGGGAGGGGACTTAGTAGCAGGACAATTCACACTGCAACAACTGTATAAACTAACAGATTAGCTTGTCAAGCTCCATAGACTTTGACAGCAGACACAGGACTCCTGGGTCACAGAAGCAGAAGAATCAGCACAGTTGTTAATCAGTTAGTGCTGATTCCCCAAGCCCTAAATCCCACAGGGCAACCCAAAGGGCTAGGTAGAGATTGTATATTCAGTGGAGTGTGTCATCAGAGAGGAGCCCTGAGTTTAAGGAGCACACACTACTTTTACAATAAACATTAAGCAAGCCTCTGTTCTACTCATGGGGAGACCAAGCATAACTCAGGTAAACACGATACATTCCTGGGATGCATGGCCTCAGTTTCCAGAAATGGCTGCTGCATAAACAATCCTGAGAAAAGGCACAGGTGAAGGAATAGTCAGGGCCTTGTCATTTTGGTACACCCAGGAAGACAAGTAGGAGCACAAGATGACGGCAGTGGACTGCTTTCCAACAGATCTGAAAACTGTTTTGTGTTTGGGAAGCCACGTGTACAGGATTAGAAATATAAAAGCAGTTAAAAGACAAAACACCCACTTTTACTTTGCCTCCTAAAGAAGCCACATGAGGACAGAAGCCCTCATTTGCTTTGCTGACTAATGCAATCTCTGGGCCTTATACAAAATCTCGCCTGTACTAGAGTTTTTAATATATTTTTCTTGAGTGAGTAAATGAATTCTGTTTGCCAGTGTACTTGTCACATTCTATTGAGCATTCTGCTGATTAGCCACATAGATCTTGTGTATTTTCTGCTTGAATCACTAACCTTGGCTGTATTAAAATTTGTCTTGACCCTGTGGACTAATACTAAAGGCTTTCTAGTCTCTGATTTTATGCTCTGGTTCCCAAGCCCTTGCTTTAAATCTCTTATCCTTTATCTATTTCAGAGCTTTTATACCACTGCTGTTCACAGTCATGGGATCTTACCTCCCATTTTACCCAATTCTTGCACCTATCCATCCTGGATAAGGGTCAGTGTCTAGCTTCAAAATCTGGCCTTGCCATCCACTAACTGTGTGAACTCAGACAAGTTTTATAACCTCTCTTGAATGCACATTCTTCAAATAATAATAATAATAGAATCCATCTCATAAGGATTCAATGAGGTAAAGCACATGTAACCAGCTTACAGAACAGGCTGGACTCAGAAGGCTTAAGGAAAGAATAACAAACTTTACTTGTTTCTATCACTTAGTTTTAACACCTCCAACATCAGCTTTGGCGCCCCATCTTCCTCTTTCCTAGACCAAATTTTGGGCATATGCTTTAGCAGTTTAACGGCTTTCAGAAATTAATTAATAAGCAATTCTTAGGTGATGTATTTTAAGCCACTAAGACTCTAATCTTAACCAAATAAAATTTCCACACTTCCCTAGATCAGGAAAGACCAGCAAATCTCACCGGCCAACAGTGGGGTGAGGCTTCTGTCTTTCTCCAGTACTCTTCCCTGTGTTCTTCCTCACCTCCTCCAAACCCCACCCTCTACTCACTGAACAGCTTCTGGGGAGAGAAGGAGGACAAATGCGATGATAAGAAGAAAGTCTTACTTTACTAAGATTGTTGAAACACAAATATTGGTAATCTCTTATTATTTTCTGACTTACTCAAAGATCACTCTCTCCCCTTTCTGGGGGTCTCTCCACTACCCCATTCCTTGTCAAAACAGGCAGATCTTCCCTGGCAGACCTCTCAGGACTCCCACGCAATTCCTGCTGTATATTCCATACGTCTTTCTGCTGGGATCATCACATGCATTAAAAGTACATGGACTTGAAAATGTAGACATTCTAATAGGTGGCCTATGTTTTCTACATCCCCCAAAATCCAAAATTTTAAACATCAAGAAGAAAACACTCTTATATCTTGTGATAACCAACACTTTATAACCTGTTTGATATTTTGTGGGGGCGATAACCTTCTTCAAAGCATTTAACCTCACCATGGAACTACAGTGAGAAATGAGAGACATGCAACGTAGCTAAGCATTAGTGTATCTATCATCCTATCAACATACCCTTCTAGTCATTCTTTTGGGAAGCCTCAGATGAGTTCAAGGGCATCAGATTCAGAATAAGTATGTAAGAGAAATAACAAAAGCAAGGGGAAGAGATGATTGAAGTTTATGCAACAATACCGTTAGAAAAACAACAGAGTGTCAGAGAGGGTACAAATTATCTTTAGCATCTGCTGCTCTGCTTCCCTAGTCATTTAGTTTCTAGCGTCGGATTACTAAAGTTATAGTTTGTTCTATAGATCACTGCATCACCTGTGATGGAAAAATAAATATTCCTTGGATAACTTTCTAGTTCTCTGCTTTACGTTGAATAATCTGGTCAATCTGTCTTGAACACTGTGCTATTTTTGGACATTTTCTGTCAAAAAATGTTCTCTCTGTCGTTTATCTGTCACGACAAAGAAGTAAGATCATGCCCCCCAATGTCAGTGGCATTTATGAAACATGTTGGATCATTTACTTTCCTTTTTTCCTATAGGGAATGAAACTGCCTCTTAATAAGACTTGATGGAACTTGATTTCTGTGAAATCCTCAAGCATTATAAATTATTATACATCATATTCCTATTAAAGAACTCTGATAAAATTAGTGTTCATTTTGTATTCCTTTATTTTGCCTCAAATTCTCTTTGTTGCAAATCCTTATTCTCCCCATTGCACCATTTTTGAACTCTTGATTATCTCTAGACCTATTTATGTTTTAATAGCTAAAGCCTTTCCTAGGCAAGTATTTCAATAACAAAATCACACATTTTTACACTGAACATCAACAAAGATTTTAGAAATTATATGACAATTTGGGTTACTTGAGTGCAAATACCTACATATGTGTGTATATAATGTGAGGACAGAAGATAAAGGGAATTTGTTTAATTACACTATATGTATGTTCTGGCTACTTTTTTTACCTTGCCCAGAAGCTTCTGTTTTAATAAGCTAATAATATCTAACATTTGAATGATGTTTTGCATGGCACTTTTGAGTGCATTATCCCAGTAATCAGGTTTGACTTCTACACCAATCTGTTAATTATATGAAGGGCACAATATGTTTTCTAAAGAAGGTAACTGTAGGTCCCTAGCTTTGTTTGCTCTTCTAATTCCTAATAAAGTCTTGCATAAAGCAAATTTACACAATTTAGATTACTAAATAAAACAAATATTCTTTGTGTTTTCCTCATATAAAAGCCCCATGGTATTCCAACAAACAAGGAGATAGTTTAATTTCCCCCATGACCACTGTCTTCTTTACTTTACTGATTACTATTAGGCCTAGGTACATGGTAACTTCTGGATTTGTTGATTAAAAAATCTAATATTCATATATCCTTGTGCTTTTTCTTTTTGCAATAATATGCAGCTTGGAAAATAGCCACCAAACATCCATATCTTCAACAAATTAAAGGTTTTGGAGTCAATATAACACAGGACAATCTATAATATCAAAAAATAACATTCACACCAACAAATTCTCAACCATGTGGTAATGGTTTCTCAAACTTCAAAACTAAACTTCAGAATGAGAGTCATAAACCACTCTGAATCAAGAACAGATAACACGGCTTTTTAAAAGAACTGCCATAGTCACACTGAGGCAAATTTTGAGTAACCTTTTTCTCCAGCATATCCTCATTTTTTTTCATGCAGCATGCTGCCTCACTTCTTGAAAATTATCCTTTCAAATATATTTGCTAGTAATTCTTACACCTGAGTTTCTTTTTAAAAAAAAAAACAACTCACACTCACATACTGATATTTTCCCACCCATATTAAAATCTATGGAAATTTTAACAGCAGGAAACATAAACATATTTTAGATCAGTATTTTAAAAAGAGGAAAAATTCATGACCATGCAAAACATATGTCAATAACAAGTGTTACTGGCTATCTCAAATTTTCCCATCAATATTTATTTTAAAAACTGCTTTTGCTAGCAGACAAACAGTAGTAAGTATCAAAGGAATATGAGAAAAAATGATAAGACATCTGTTTAGACACAAGGAAATTCTAACCAGTAAATTGCTTTTTCTGCAAAATTCAAAAAGACCACCATTTTTCACAATTGTAGCAATATAGCACCTTGATTAAAGTCTAGAATATCAGCAGTCTGATATTCACTGGGACCACTGGCTCTGCTCATGAACTTATATTCAAGCAATTCCTATCTACCAGAAAGCAGCTGAATACAATAATTTGCAATATTTTTTTCTAGTTACTTTATTATATCTTCTCAATATCTCCATTTTGCCAGCTGCATATTTTGGCTAGACTATACTTATGTAGATTTTATTTACCTTATATAGCAATAAAGAATTTAGATGTAGGATGTGTCTGCTTCTTCTCACTCTCTCTGATGGCCTCCTTTTCTGTATCTTAATTATTGCTTACCTTCTATGCTCTGTCCAAGCACATCTTCTCAGCTCAGTTTTCATGCATTTTATAGAAATATCAGCTGTTCCACTTCTTAATTTTCTAAACTGAATAAATGGGTGTGGACAGATGTCTATGTGTCTTTCTAAACACTCTTCTGTCTCATCAAAGAGTTTTTACCAATTAACACAAATATATGTTGGATCATATCATAAGCAATGGTTAAATAATTGTCATAAAAGGTACTAGATCTCATTTAGTTTGACAGCACCAGTAAATTATATTTGGAATACTAGAAATGACTAACAAATGATGTACAAGTTTTCAAATGGAAGAGATAAAAAAAAGTTGCATTCCAGTTAGAGGGAAAGTCATGAAAAAAATGTTTGAGTTGAAAATGGCACAGGCTAGTTTCAAGGAACCTGGGCAGTCCAGCTTGAAGAGTGAGTAAGAAATGCCAAATTATCTACATCTAACTCCACCGAGATATGGCTTTGCCATGTATTAATTGCTACTTGTTGTGAGAATTGGACTCGGAAAAGTTTGATAAAACAGAAAGAATAAGAAGAGGTAAATACATGGATCTGCATTGCTGGGAATAGTCACATTCACCCTTTGCTCCTGATGTCCTGAGGTTTCAAAGAGGCACTTGATGATTGCTGTAGTGGTGGAGGAGGAGGGAAAAAGAGGGTTCGGTCTCTGAACAGGGCTGAGTCAATCCCTGACTGAGAGCAGCTCCATTATATGTTGAAATTCTACTAAAGGTTTTGTTCGAAAAGAGTATTAAGAAGGCACAAAAAAGAAAAAAAAAGACTGAAAATTAATTTTTTCAAGACAATGCTAAGAGCAAAAGCCATTAGTGAATGGCAGAGCTCAAGAAGCAATTCAAAGAAGACAAAGTTATGTCAATAATACTAAGTGTTATTGAAAATGCGAGGAGGATGAAAGAGAGCCATAATTCCACAACAGAATATTAAAAGTTCTTTTCTTTCCTTTCTCAATTTTAAAATTATCTTTTCAATATACTTTATAACTACTTTTAAATTTACACCCTTTTTTTCTAGTGGTCATAAAAATACTTATTGGAAGATTCCAACAAATAAGCCAACCGTTATCATTATTAACAGCATATTCCCACTTCATACCTCAAGTTATACAGAAAGCTAAATTTTAGAATAACAAATTAATATTCTCTGGCTCATAGTTGCAAACATAGCCACTAAATCTGCTTTCCCTGTGCCAGTGGATATTATCCCCTGAGAGTCCACGTCTAATTCATTTTTGGTTTGCTCTTCAACGAAAAACAATACATTTTGTAATTCAATTTTGGCAACTACTATTCTAAACAAAGGGAAATGTATTTTTTCTTGATTTTTTTTCAGTTAACTAAAATAAAATTCATTTTGTGACAGCTTTATTTATGGTGTACAGTGATTCATGATGTAGGCAGAAAGTACTTTCATTTGGTGTGTTTGGGCCAGGGGCAATAAATAATAGAGGAGTCTTGAATACATATATACGTATATATCTGCATCTCACTGGTACAATATAGAAGATTGTCAAGTACTCAGAAGCAATTTGACTGACTGAAAACAACATGGCGAGTGACATTTCATTCCTCACATAAATGGTGTCCAATAACAAATTGTTAATTTATACAGCTTTGGTGGATAGCATCATTGATCCTGAAATACATTTCGTATGTCTATTGTCTCATCCTTCAGAAATGAATGAAATGTTTATAAATTTGAGTATTTATTTTTCCAGAAAATATTTGGCTTTCTATGTCCCCTTGGTTCCCAAGGGTCTATAGAAAGAGATGTTTATAATTTTCCTCCCACAGTTCTCAAAGTAATGGAATAAAATTTTCGTTAGAAATACACTGAGGTAAAAAGACTAAATTCTTCTAACTGGTGGCTATTTTATCTCTAAATAAATGTAGTCAAAACCCTAATCTAAAAGCACCAGATCTGAAACACTTTCCAAAGGCCTCAGTCTGAGTGAGCTGTGCTTCTACTATAAGCAATCCATTTCCTCAGAAGATGAAGCTCCATATTACCACAGCAGTCCTAAAAGACAGATAACCATCAATTTCATGATTAAAACATTGACACCTTAACATTAGCCCAGACATTTAGTCACAGGTCTTAAAATTCATTTACCTCAAAAGTGACTGTTATGGGCTGAACTGTGTTTTCTCTCCAAATTCATATGTTGAAGCCCTGACCCCCAGTATGTCAGAATGTCACTCTATTTGGAGATAAGGACATTAAATAGGTAATTAAGTTTAAATGAGGCCATTAAGATGGGCTCTAATCCAATCTGACTGGTATCCTTATAAGAAGGGGAAATTTGAATGCACAGAGACACATCAGGGATATGTGCTAAGTCCATATTTGTTGCTATAATAGAATATCACTGACTGGGTAACTTATAAAGAAAAGGAATGTATTTCTCAAATTTCTGAAGGTGGAGAAGTGCAAGAGCACTGTACTGGCATCTGGGGAGGGTAAGCACATTAGCAAAAGGCATCACATGGTGTGGGAGCCGATGAACCTTTTACCAGGAGCCCACTCCCCTAGTAACTAACACACTCTCTCCATAACAGCATTAATTCACCCGTGAGAGTGGATCCCTTATGACCTAGTCATCTCTTAAAGGCCCCACCTCTTCATACTGTTACAATGACAAGTAAGTTTCAGCATGAGTTTTGGAAGGGACAAACACGCAAACCATAGCACATGTGCACAGAGAAAAGATCACGTGAGGACAAGGCAAGAAGATGGCCATCTGTAAGGCAGGAGGAGGGTCCTCAGAAGAAACCATACCTACCAACACCTTGATCTTGGACTAGGATCCTCCTAAACTGTGAGGAATCAATTTCTGTTAAGATATCCAATCTGTGGAATTTCGTTACTACAGGCCTAGCAAACTAACACAATGACTTTACCACACATCTTGCTATTTACATGAAATTACACATTTTATTTAGCCATCATATATTCTCTATGAGAGAACAGTTTACAGCAGCAGCATTTGGAGTAATATTTCACTCATGTAATGCTGCTATGTCTTATCTGCTATTTGGCACATTTAGACCATAATTCAGTAAAGCCCTCTTCTCCTCACACTGCTATCACCATCACAATATAATCTCACTTTTATTGAGCACATAGTATATTGCAGGCTCTGCTTTAAATGCTTTGCACACTAAATCATTTAATACTCACAATGATTCTGTAAGGTAGGTACTATTACTGTGCTCACTTTAACAAGTTGAAAACAGACACAAAGAAATTAACTAACTTGTTAATTAACTTAGTTAATTAACTAAATTTGCAGAGCTAGCTTACAAACACGATGTAGATAGCACAACTTTGCTTGTGTTCTTTAACCAATATGTTAAAGGGTTACCAAAACACCACTTTGACTTTTAAAAAGTTAGACTGTCCAGGCCGGGCGCAGTGGCTCATGTCTATAATCCCAGCACTTTGGGAGGCTGAGATGGGTAGATCACGAGATCAGGAGTTCGAGACCAGCCTGGCCAACATGGTGAAACGCTGTCTCTACTAAAAATATAAAAATTAGCTGGGTATGGTGGTGTGTGCCTGTAATCCCAGCTACTTGGGAGGCTGAGGCAGGAGAATTGCTTGAACCAGGACCCGAGAGGCAGAGGTTGCAGTGAGCCGAGTTGCACCACTGCACTCCTGCCTGGGCTACAGAGCGAGACTCCGTCTCAAAAAGCAAACAAACAAATAGGCTGTCCTTCATTCTATCTCAATCACTCTGTTAACCTGTCTTTATTACAAAAGTCATGTCCACTTTTCACTCAAGCATTTTTCTCTTTTACAAAACGCAAAGATCTTTTCAGCTCAGATAGATAAGCTAAATCTAAATTTTGTCCAATTTTGCCATTATAACAAATAATATTTCTGTAATAAATAAGAAATTTTAAATATTAAACATGGTTTGAAAATCTTTGAGTTAACATTATCAATTCACAAAACGTACTTATGCTTGTTACAATTGTTGACGTATCATTAAAGCAATACCTTCAAATCTAAGTCATTTTATAAACCTCAAATTTTATCACCCAGCAAGAAATTTTAACTATTGGATTTTTATGTAAGGTTTGTAAAATATAAGAGTACCATACTCTTCTATCATTCCTTTATGAATCAATTCTCTATTATTCCATCATTGTATATGTTCAGGAAATTATTTTTGCATCTAATTCAATCAATAATAGTGGTAATCCAAATTTATTCTAAGGTTGCAGCATACATAGAATTTAAACTCAGCAAATTTTTAAAAAACCAGAATAATGGAAACAGTTGCCATTGAGTTTCTTATATAGAGAAGAAACACCATCTCTTGTAGTTAAGGAGGTAGGGTATAAGGTCACCTGGGTTTAAATCTGACTCTAGTACTTAGCAGCTGTGCCAACTTGGGAAAATTATTTCACCTCTTTGTGCCTTGGTTTCTCTTCCATAAAATGGGAATGCTTGTAATACCTACCTCATGAAGTTTTTATGAAAATTTAATAAGTTAATATTTATAAGCCACTTAAAATGTGATTTGAACATATTATCTTCTATATGTGTTTTTTCATAAGCCATGTAAGTATTATTATTTTGAGACAGATCCAGGGTGTTAGTAGTGGCAGGAAAATATAATAAAGAGCCTTTCTCTTGCTGCATCATATGAAAGCATATTCCCATGTCTCCTTGTTTCTGTCTTGTTCCAAGCAAAACAAAGAATCCAACAAAGAACAGATCTGTTAACATCACTAAAACTCATTTTTAAAAACCTGAGTTATGCAAAATGCACGGAAGAAGCACATACAAATTTTTTAACAGCCTTGATTATTCCAATTCTATTAAAATCCTACTTGTTGTTTCAGTGTCTCCTCTGTATATTTCTTAACCCAAACATACTAAAAGTACTTTTTTTTTTGAGATGGAGTTTCACTTTTGTCGCCCAGGCTGGAGTGCAGTGGGCAATCTTGGCCCACCGCAACCTCCGCCTCCCGGGTTCAAGCTATTCTCCTGCCTCAGCCTCCCGAGTAGCTGGGAATACAGGTGCCCACGACCACGCCCGGCTAATTTTTTGTCTTTTTAGTAGAGACGGGGTTTCCCCATGTTGGGCAGGCTGGTCTCGAACTCCTGCCCTCAGGTGATCTGCCTGCCTTGGCCTCCCAAAGTACTGGGACTACAGGTGTGAGGCACCACACCTGGCCTAAAAGTACTCTTTTAGGATTTAAATTCAGAGCTCTTGGCTCAAAAGGAAATATTAAGTTTTAATTTAATTTTAACCCGAGTCTTCTTTTGTACTTGTATACACTCCGGCCAACTGAAAAAAATAAACAAGGTAGGGATAGGCTTCTCTGTGCTTTGATCTGAGTTGTAGAACACTGTGAGAAAACCATATCACTCTTCCCAATCTTTTCACAGAGAGAACACTTTATTATTGTCATGCATGGCACTAGACAAGCAGTTGGGGACACAGATTTATTAGTAGATATTTTATCATGTCATTTGGCCTTCAATTTCTGACCTATAAAATGCATGTTGGATGTGAAAGCCTGCGTGTATGTGTGTGTGTGTGTGCCTGTATGTTGTAGGAATATAAATATGTATGGTATTATTATGCTATGTATCATGACAACTTTAAATGCAAGCCTGGATTATTTTCAATATCATGTGTTGCTTAAGTAAATAATTAAAGCTAACATTTAGTTAGCACCTACTATGGGCCGATCACTGTTCTAACTACCTTAAATGTATTAACTCATTTAATCCTTTCAACACCCCGTGAAATAGGCATTATTATTATCCCCATTTTATACACAGTAAAAATCCTGATGCATGGACAGATGAGAAGCTTTCCCAGAATTAGTTGGTTAGCAAGTAGCAGAACCAAGTTTAACCAGGTATTCTGGCTCCCTGATTCTTCTTCTGACGCATTACAATGTTTCTTTAAACTATCTCACTCATTAAGACTTCCTAATAATCACTGAATGCACAAACATGATGAACATGATGAAGCTCCTAAAAGTACCCCGAAACTAAACAATAATTGTATACACCTCAATATCACGGACAAAAATCATCACAAAAACAGATTTAAAAGTCCAAAGAATTATTTATCCATTTAAATGAGAAAGTTCTAAGCACTCAAAACCACTGAACTTAGAGACCAGTTCGCCATTTGTTAAACCAGCCTAATTAAAACACTGAATAAATGTAATTATATTCCTTAGGGCTCTATTGAGCCCCTCCTAAGAGTAAGGTAAGCATTGTTGGAGAAATTAAAAGTCACAGATATACTCCACATTTACATCATAATCTCTATATTCATTACACGTACCTATTGCAAATAAATTATTAAATGGTTCGGGCAAGTAAAAAGTACCTAAATATTGACTTTTTTTTCAATTTAAGATCTATTTTTAACCTACAATATCAGTGACCAGAAACAAACCAATCAAAAGCCAAGATCTTGCATGCTATTAAATTCTGCCATCATTTCAGCAATTAAAATGCACTTTAAGTGGTACAAATTTCAAAACAGACTCCTCACAGCTAATTCTTGCATCCGTACTTTGTTTCGTTGTGTGCTGCTTCCTTTTTCTTTCTCAGACTATATATTTTTCCTACCAGCAAATACTAAAATTCAAAGGTAAGACCTCCTTGGAAAAGTTACGGATAATTTCGTATTCATCTATTAGTTGCAAACTTCATGTAAATAATTGAGCACAAGATGGCAGAAAAAAGATACAGTCATAAGGTTCATTCCTGTTCCAGAGTGAATTAATTTCTTGTTGTGACTATAACAAATTACCACAAACTTATTTGTTATAAAAAATAGATCATTTTACAGTTCTATAAATTAAAAACCTGAAACATGTCTCACTGGGCTAAAATGAAGGTGCTGGCCGGGCTGCATTCTTTCTTGGGGCTTCTAGGCTAGAATCCATTTCCTTGCCTCTCCACCTTCTAAAGACTGCCTTTAGTCTGGCCTGCTTCCATCTTCAAAGGGCCAGTTGTCCTTCTCATATCTCATCACTCTGAAGCTGACTCTCTTGCCTTTCTCGTCCTCATTTAAGGACCAACTGCGATTACAGTGAAAGCCCTTTCCAAGATAATTCAGAATAATCTTCTTTTATAGTCAGCTAATTAGCAACTGTAATTCCTTCTGCTGCCTTAATTTCCCTTTGTCAAGTAACGCAGCATATTTAGCTGTTCTGGGGATAGCAAGTAAACATCTTTGGGCAGCCATTATTCTTCCTACCACAAAGGACCATTGTTTCTTTGCTGTTCAGAAATTATTCATGTCAATTTCTTTGTTCGAAAAAGAGGAAAGCTGGAGGGATATATATTTCTAAATACATGCATATGGTATACACGTATAACATTTATGTATGATATATATGTATGAAACAAGAAAATCCTAAGCATAAATACCCTGTAGCCCATATCTCAGAGACCGTGCGAGCTGGAACTCAGGAGCCCCTCCCTGACCCCCAACCCCCCTCACTCTTGCTAACCCACTGCACTAATAACTAGGTTCCTCTTCTCTGTCTCCACTGCCTTGCTCTGAATCCCATTCATTTTTTGCCTGGACACTTCCTATTGACTGTTACCAGTGGTTTCCTTTCCTAACACCCTTCACACTGATAATGCAGTCATTATCCATCATGTAAATCCTATCATGTCCTCTTTGCTTAAAATTGTTGCATCGTTCTCCATCACCTATAAGATAAACTTAAGTCATTTAAGAAAGCAATTCTCTATCCAGCAGTCATATCACATGAAACACAAGCCTCTCTCACAATATAGGCACATAAACTTGTGCGAGAGTGTGCATGTACACACACACACCTTAATCCATGTTGAAACACTTATTATAACCAGAATGTACCAGGCTGCCTCCTGCATTTGTGCCTTTTTTTCTTTACCACAATCCCTCCTTAGTGTGTCTCAAAAACTCCTCTTCACAATCCACTTCAAATATTTCTTCATGAGTAAATTATTTCCTGACCTTTCCAAGGTAGTACATTTCATTCTCTGTATTCCCACAGTACATGACATACTGTTATTAGAGTGTTATCACATTACTCTTGAATGTATGTCCTTGCTTCTCTCTCATGCACACACACAACCTGTTTTTTCCTCTCTTCCTTTTAACAAGACAATAGTACAAACAGAGGCATGTTTTGAAGCCATAGAAAATAAAATTATAATACCTCATCATAATCCTAAACTAGTAGGGCACATAAAAGATTCAAACTTGGCTGGGTGTGGTGGCTTACACCTGCAATCCCAGTGCTTTGAGGCCAAGGTGGGCGGATCAGGAGGTCAAGAGATTGAGAACATCCTGGCCAACATGGTGAAACCCCGTCTTTACTAAAAATACAAAAATTAGCCAGGCGTGGTGGCATGCGCCTGTAGCCCCAGCTACTCGGGAGGCTGAGGAAGGAGAATCACTTGAACCCGGGAGGTGGAGGTTTCAGTGAGCCGAGATCATGCCACTGCACTCCAGCCTAGGATATAGAGCAAGACTCTGTCTCCAAAATTATATATATAAATATATATATAACTATATATATAAAAAATATATATAACATATATAAAATATATATAACATATATATATAATATATACAACATATATATATAAAATATATATACATATATATATGTATATCAAGTCTAGTAAACTGACCTCATAAGTCTCCAAGGATTTGAGTCCTTTAGGATGCTAGGAGGAGCTCTCATGTTAGAGAAGCCAGTATTTTGAGCAACTTTTAGGTTCCTAAGCACCATCTCATGTGGTCTCTTTTTACCAATAATTTGTTTGCACAAGATCTGCAGAAATCACTTCTGGGCTAGAGGTAAGTGACTCAAAACCAACACCGTTAAACTTCTCAAATGATTCTGCATGCCATCTAGCTCTAAACTATAAAATGAGTGGTCAATGTATTGTGTGGTTTTCCCTGTACCACACAAGAATAGAATAAATCATTTAAAAATTAGTGATAATTTTTATTTCATTTCAGAATAAGTACTGCTAAGGTTTTATTAGGTACTGACCATTTGCCAAGCACCCTCCTATGAAATTTACACATATTTAATCCTATGGCACCTCAGAAGTATATTATTATCTCTATTTCACATAGGGGAATACTAAAATTTAGGGCATTGCATCAACCCTTTGGTGCTAACGTAAAAAGTTTTAGCCCCCTTCAAAAACTAAGCTGATGCCCTAAACTCTTAAGTTTTTCTACATCCCCATAGACCTGAGGGAAAAAATATTTCAGTAATTAACCACTCTTCTAACCACAGGAAAGGAATAGAAAAAAGAATTATTCCCAATCTCAACTATAATTTTATAAGAATATTATTGTTTTCCAAAAAGAGCATATGCATATGTATAATGATTATTAAATACATCAATAATAATTAAATAAAAATTATCTCAGTTCCTAAACCTATTGCACCATTTACATGGTGCTCAATTGTCTTAAGGGAAATCTATCCCTGTCTAATTCTACGACAAATCTCATTATAATGTAATAGGCTAAGAGTTTGAAAGGAGCTTAATGTTTTCAATCATTATAAATAACACTCCCTGACTGATATTGTAGAACACACTTCCTGTCTTAGGGATTTTGGTTTACTAGACAGAAATTACCATATGGAAGTCTGTCATTTATTCTTGAAAGAGTTTCAAGGGATAATTTGATCTGTTGTTTTGCACTGGCCTTTAAATATCTCAATTCACTACAGTAATCTTGGCAACCACATACAAATTATAAGCTATGACTGCTAAGTCTTTGTTTTAATAAAAGAACAAAATGAATTATTACATAATACTTTTTTCAGAAATTTTTTTTTCAAAATATGAGTTTCAGTAGTGAAACTACAAATAAGCATTTGGTCATAAAAACTGAAGAAACCTTTATCATTTAAATGATCAAATTGTGTAGCTAGACCTAAGGACTCTTCAATAAAGATTTAGAAGGCAACACAATGTTATAAGTATTACACCTAGTATCTTTTCTTTATGATTTCTAATTGTTACTCTCCTTTGTGAAGAAGAATTAGGAGAGAATAAATTAATAAGCTAGCTAGGGAATATCCACTACTCTGGCATAGCAGGAAACAGAAACTATAGATGAAGTGGTTTATTGAACTGATTTTTGCTATGAAAGCTCCATATTAAAGCTCCATATATGTGTTCATGTTTTATTTTATAATGGCTACCATAAAGCCAATCTCCTTTTTCTCCTCAGTATGTTTTGCCAACCGAGTCTAAATTAAATTAGGACAACTGACTCAGAGAAGCTAGAGTTGAAAAATTCAGTAGGTTTATGCGAAAAACATTTTAAGCCTTTGCAAAAGCATTACTGAAGAAATACATTTCAAAAGAAAAAAAATTAAAACATTCCCAAAATCCTATGTATTTAAACAGGATATACCACACAGTGGGGGTGGGAGAAAAAGAAGTTATTGATTCAACTAATAATAATACCACTTCCAATATCCTATATCGTGCAGAGCTATAAAAAAGTATCAATTTGCAGGCAGGAAATGAAGAGGGAGAAAAAGCGAAGCGGAAACAAAAGATAAATAAAATTTTTTGATAGAAAAGGAAGATAAGTTATAAATTTCATAGGACTGTTTGTTTTTGGTTTGCTCTGGGTCAGTAATTTTTGACAGCAGACAATGCCAACCTGGCTAACCCAATAAATGTACATGGTTTTCACTAAGGATGGGAAATTTAAAAGAATATTTGCTTAAGTTTGAGACACACACGAACACACCAACCACCACATACACATATATTCACAAATAAGTCGCAGAAACACTGTAGTCACAGGAAAATAATGAGGCCTATTGCAATGCAATTCAAACATTCTCAATGAAAACTGTTTGAAAAGACCCTAGTTACAGAAAATGTTTTCATGTATGTGCATTATGTATGGAGATATTTGCAGGCTGGATTTGCTATTTTGATCCATCGGACAAATTTAGCTCATGTCCCAACTGCATCTTTCCAATTTAATGAGTGTGTGTGTGTGTGTGTGCGTGTGTACGTGTGAAAACTGGTTGGAGAGACTTCTGGATAAACTAGCACAAGATTTCCTTGGAACATTAAGAAATGGAGTGTGCCTGGTATGTGTGATGTCATTTTAAAATAGAACACTAGAACATAATTCCACTCTTCTTAAGTTCCTTTTTGTTAATGTAGAGGGATTTTTTTTTCTATTTATTGCCAATGGATTGCGAAGAAATGTAAAAATAAAGACCAAAGATAATAAAATTTCAGTCATCTTGGGAACACTGCTAAATGTCTAGTACTGACATAATCATCTAACTATGGTATTTTTTTCAACTGAGATTGCAGTTACGTATCTTTTCTTCAGAGGGACTAGGATATTAATTCAATATAATCATATGAATATTTTCAAAGTACTTATCTGTCCTTACTGAATTATATTCTAGAGATACAGTCATATAATTGAAAGAATGTTTCCTAAATTAGATATGTGACAATTTCAGGAATGGTAAGAACCTGTTTTACTAAATAATGAGATTTGAAAATTACCATGAAATAGTTGAAATCTTCAGCTTCAAATCCACTAATTAATTAATTAATATATGTGCCAATATATTATGTGTACGTGATTTTGTGATGGCCAATAATGAACAAATGCTTTTGTTCAAGTTCCTTCCCCAGCTATTTTCTAAACTTCCTAGCAGATGGGGGTTGGGGGTGGGAAAGGGAACTGTGAGGCAGTGGAAGAGCACAAGTACTAAGAATCCCTGGCCGGGAGCGGTGGCTCACGCCTGTACTCCAAGCACTTTGGGAGGCCAAGGAAGGCAGATCACCTGAGGGCAGGAGTTCGAGACCAGCCTGCCCAACATGGAGAAACCCCATCTCTACTAAAAATACAAAAATTAGCCTGGCGTGGGGGTGTGTGCCTGTAGTCCCAGCTACTTGGGAGGCTGAGGCAGGAGAATCACTTGAACCCAGGAGGCGGGGGTTGCAGTGAGCCGAGATTGCACCACTACACTCCAGCCTAGGCAACAAGAGCGAAATTCCATCTCAAAAAAAAAAAAAGAATCACTTCTCCTGAGTTCCTTTTTTAAAAAAGGTTATCTGTCTGAAAAATAAAAATACTACTATGCACTGCAAAATACAATATGAAGAAAACAAGCTCAGTATTTTGGAAAGAATTTTTGTCTGCCTCATAGATATTACTTAAACTTTCGTTACATCAACCCCTTCTCCTGGTACTTTTTATATCTTCCCAAAGTTGTCTTGGTCTAAGGTTTTGTCCTTTCATGTTTTACGCAATTACTTGTACCCAAATGCTTTAGTGGAGAACTTCTATAAACCCCCAAAAGGACATATACTGAATTTCCTTAATCCTAAAACGAATATTGAGGTACATAGTGACATTTATAACAATAAAAATGTGTTCTAAATTCAATTAGTATATTTAAGTAAATGGTATTATTTGATTTTTTTATGTTTACTTATCTTAAAATGCTTTGTAAGCTCAATCTTTTATTTTTCAGCAGTCTGTGATATTTAGGAAAGTAAAATAAATTAAGAAATGTACATATTAAGGAAACATCTTAAAAATTATGCCCAATTCTGGGAAGCAAATAGCACTATGATACAGGAATCAGATACAAATAATATAGATGAGTGGTTTAGCAAAATCTCTTCTGCAAAATACTGATTCCAGAATAGCGTAATAAATTAACCAAGCATCTTTGAAATGATTTTTTTTTAATTCTACCCAACTGAAAACATGTCATTTATAAGTTTTTGTGATATTCACTAAATATTATGAAGAAGGCAATTCTTTTGTCTTACAACAAAGAAAAGTTAGCAAAAACAGGCCAGGTGCAGTGGCTGAAGCCTGTAATCCCAGCACTTTGGAAGGCTGAGGTGGACTGATTGCTTGAGCCTAGGAGTTTGAGACCAGCCTGGGCAATATGGTGAAATGCCATCTCTACAAAAAGTACAAAAATTAGTCGGGCATGGTGGCTTATGCCTGTGGTCCCAACTATTCGAGACGCTAAAACAGGAGGATAGCTTGAGCCAAGGAGGTAGAGAGACTGCAGTGAGCCATGATCGTGCCACTGCACTCTAGCCTGGGCAACAGAGTGAGACCCTGTCTCTAAAACCAAACCAAACAAAAACAACAAAAAAAGAGAAAAGTTAGTAAAAATAAAATTCATTGGGAGATGTTAACAAAAATAGAAGGATAACTTCAACATTTGTTTATCTAAATTTTAAACATAAAAGTGCCCAGTTATTGTCATTATAAAAGCTTTAAAAATGTAACATCCTAAAGGGCTTATCATGATTTCATAAAAGTAACTTTGCATTTGCCTTTTCCCTGTTTCTAATATCTTCAGAATTTTAAGGTTTTTTTCCATGTATTACAGAATAGAGTGTTCCCACTTGATTTAAACATTTCATGAAAATATTTGTATTTTTGTATTGCAGAAGGTCTTTAAACCAATGAAAATGATTACCCCTCTAAAGGCTATAAATAGTTTTTTTCATAAATATTAATTTAAATAATTAAATCTTAAGCAAAAAATTTTGTCAAAAATTACATCATCTTTTTCTAAATAATGATGTTAATATTTTAGAAATATTTTATATAATATGTTACAGTTACCCTTCTGACCATAAATTGCTACATTAAAACACTTGAAGCAATGCAAATGATGAAAAGGTAAATGAGCATAACTTTCTTTATCCAAGTGCTGTAAAACTAGTCTTGGAGATGAAATGAAATGAAGCAGACTTTACAGGCATGGAAATTGGTTTTTATTTGAATAAACTAGCTCTATTCTATAAAATCTCCTTTAAAGAATTTGTCCTGGACCAGTGAGTTGTTTCATTTTGAGAATATATGTCATTTGTAAAATAATATGCTAGAAGCTAATTATGATTGTCAAATGAGAGTCAGTCTACATGGAAGTGATATTAAAGTATTACTGAATGAAATTTTAAACATAATAAAATAGGAGAGCAATATGCATCTTTGGTAACTTAATGTCAAAATTACATTTGAAAACCTTCTTTGCAGCTCATTGGGATGATATATATGGAAATATGAACTCCAGGGAAAGGACAGAATTAACAACATCAGGCAGTTATGAATTGGTGGTATTAAAGTTGGATAGTAAGCATAAAAATAGCTAACAGACTAATACATTTGTAAAGAAAAAGTCATTCTCTGACAAAGTATCGAAGAAAGTTAACATCTCATAATGACTACACAATGTTTTTAGTAGATATAATTTACATATTAAGACATGCGTCAAGTGTGAATATCAGACATTCAATCAATTTAATAACCCTTCAAAACTTCTGAAAATGCATAAATGAAAAATGTGCAACCTAAAAAAGAGAGGTCTGAATTATTAAAAGAGCATTAAAATACAGAATACTAGTGATATCAAAGTCAGAATAAAAAGACATTAATTGAAACATGACTTCACATGACACTGGCTTAATCGTCCTTGGCATGTGGAAGAACAAGTGAATATGGCAGCACCATGGAACTAAATATCACCAGAAATTATTCCGAGAACAAAGTTAATCTCTGGATCATGAAATCTCTCCCTAAACCCTACATACCCAATATCTTAAAGTTGCCTTTAATCTACCCCCAAATTCCTATTTTCAGAATCACACTTAAGCCAACCCATTAAGCAAAACAGCCCATGCTCCAAGAATATATATCATCCTTAACCATCACACACACATGCTCTTAAAATTTATATTTTGGTACTAATCTCAGCAGGTAATCAAAAAGAAAGCAATCCTATGATATGATGTGTAGGGAAATATAGTAAGTCATGCAACAAGATGCTTACACATTAAAAGCAGAGACTAAATGCATTAAAATAATTGATATTAACAAACAGTTAATTTCAATAGTCAAAATGTGCTATTTTTCCCCAATTACATGTGATAACTTTTCACCAAAGGTTTCTTTTTTATCCCTTGCTTAATTTATTTCACTACTTTATATTAATCTATTCGGGGCAATTTGCAATCCTGCTTTTTAAGGATTCATGGATTGTAGATCTTACAGCACTAAATATTCCAATGATTTTTTTCTAGAATAAAATATATTTAAACTTGGAAATACTACTTTAAAACAAAATTGAGTTAATAAAATTACTTTGGGAAAAAAATCATCACACTTGGTTAACTGCACAGTTTGTATGATTGAAGCTTTATGTGACTTTTAGACACCGAGATGAGTAAAGACACTAAGGCTTGAAGTTTGCTGCAGCCATCTCTAATTAGGTTTACAAGAAATGGTCTCTGAAAACAGAAGTCTAAGGACAATAATGCAGAATGACTCCCAGCCTTCAGATGATCTTATTTTCTCAGTTAATGTTTAAACTAGATTAAATACTGTAAACATTCATTCATTACACAGTACATATTCTTTTTTAACAATTTGAGGGAAAGTAAAATGGAAAGTAAAAGGTTAAAATGACCATGCAGCATTGTACTTTCAAAAGTCCTATTTCAAGAACAAAACCAACATTAAAAGTAGATTTTATAGTACTTGTGTTTCAATCATTACAAATTCCATGAAGTATTTTTAATACCCACGAAAACACATTAGGATTTTCATATATTCCAAAGTATGTAGCAAATTAAAAAAAGAACTGAGATAAAAAAAGAAACACTTTGCCATAGTGACTCTCAGCCTTTATCTCTTGTTCTCTCTCTTTTTTATAATGTGCTATCCCATACGTAAGGAGTGGGAACAGGAAAATTAGACCGATCCACTCAGGACAATATTCACTATGTAAAATACAAAAATACCCTGTCTTTTTGCAAAACAGTTAGTAAAACATTTATCACTATTTAGAGTTTCACTTAAATTCAAATTGTCATTACAAATTATTAGTTTGTGTCAATGTTGTTTTACGGCTTCACTCAAGCCAGTCAGTCATCTTTCTCAGTATCAATTTATGTATTTTTAGCATCTTGACAACAGATCTTTCATTTCTGTCCCTGCATCTGTTTCTAGCACACATGAAGTTAAATGTCCTCAACCTTGGGTGGTTTCTCTGATTACAGTATTTACAAACATAAGCAATAAGAATTCAAGCTAGCATATTACTCTAATACTTAGTAACAAGTGACCGTGGGTATGAAGCCACCACTATTGTACTCCAGGGTATCCGTTTAGTAATTTGCATAGTGCTTCAATCTTGCTGATATCAATTCCTCCCTTGAGGTTAGAGGAGTACAACCCATGACCCCAATCTAAGGTATTGTCCTGCCATCTCTCAACGATATTGTCTAGTTCCCAGAGTGTATTTGCCTCTTGAACAGGATTGAACTGTCCCTTTTCTACTGGATTCTTAAAACATTCTAGCCATGTTGGACACAGTCAATACCAACTGTAATGGAACACAATTGCTTGATAACTGGTCCAGAGTTTAAGGAGCTCTACCTTTTGGAATACACAACCTCTCTAGTCCCGTGGTTGAGTCTGCCCTATTCTGCACACTCATTTTTATACCTTTAGCTACCCTACTTCAGTAGCTCTAAACTTTCTTCTAGATTCCTGCTCACTGAAATCAAGTTAGCTTTTCACAGGATCACTCCATGATTATAAAGCAATTCTCCAGTATTTTCATCTACTACTTTCATGCTTTCAGGTTATATATTTAAATATTTGATATATTTGCAATTTAGCTTATGTAAGTGATGAATCCAAATTTATTTTCTCTTCCAGATGATTGTTCACTTGTCCCAACATCATTGATTAAAAAGCCCTGTTTTACATGGGGGACAGAATCAATAGCTTTTTTCCCCTTCCTCTTCCAGATAAATTTCCTTTAACAAATAACCATTGAAAATTATCTTCTTGGGAGGGTGCGGAGGCTCACACCTGTAATCTCAGCACTCTGGGAGGCCGAGGCGGGCAGATCACTTGAGGTCAGGAGTTTGAGACCAGCCTGGCCAACATAGTGAAACCTCTTCTTTATGAAAAATAACAAAAATTAGCCGGGCATGGTGGTGTGTGCCTGTAATCCCGCTACTGGGGAGGCTGAGGCAGGAGAGTCACTTGAACCTGGGAGGCTGAGGTTGCAGTGAGCTGCAATTGTGCCACTGCACTCTAGCCTGGGCAACAGAGAAAGACTCCATCTCAAAAAAAAAAAAAAAAGAAAAAGAAAAAAGAAAAAAATCTTGAGACTTACTGTCTATGAAAATAAATTTAATATTTTCACAACCACAAATTTATCATATAAATCAAATTCTTTTTGCACCTTCAAAATGATGTCTTGAGTATTTTGTTATAGAACAGCTGTCATCCAGAGACTACAATAAGGAGTAACAAAACTACTTTTCTAGTGAATGAAAATTAGAGGATCTTTATGGATCCCTATGATTCCTAACCTATTCTTAAGTACTTCTCAAAATTCCAAAACAACAATAAAACTATGATTTAAAAAGAATCAGCAGTGTAATAAATGAAATAGACTGAGGACAACTCATTTGAATCACAAAATCATCTAATAACAGTGGAAGGAAATGATCAAGATACTACACAATAATATATCCTTAAAACACTACAGGCAAGAAAGAAAGAGAAAAAGAAGAAATTGCGGCAAAAAAAAAAATCCCATTTCTCAAATTTCTTCAAGCTGCCAAAAATGCTCCTCCCAGTTTCCAAGAGCTACGACGGAACAGAATTAAGAACCAGGAAGATTTCCATCAACATGAATTCTACTCCTCTTTCTAAGAAGTCCCAGTGATACAAATTCTTCACAAATTACTTTAGTGTACAATATCTGGGATTTCAAAGAAGATTGTTCAGAGGGCAGTTAAATGGAAGCTATGTGCTAAGGAGAAGGTGTAATGAAGCAAAGTAAAGCTCATGATTATAAATTTTGTGGCAAATATGTTTGATACTGAGAATTGTAGATTGTTGAATTGGCTCCCGATGACATACTTGTCTCCTCAGTTAAGGTGTGCAACTCATTCTGAAACTTAATCTATCATTAGAAATACTTTTTCAGAACCAGTAATAACATAGTGCTGAAGATATAATCATCTTATTTAAAATGTCTTTTAAAAGGCTTGAATTTTTTACTGAAAACTTTTCATTAAAACTATCAAAGGAGGAATGATACCAATAAGCAAAATTTATTATTAGTTTTGGGATTCATAAAGCTTTCCTTCCACCCATTTCTGTATATACTATCCCAACATTGTCATATAACCACAGAATGTTGGGATAGTATATAGAGTCCATTAAAAAAAGGTAAAGAAGAGGTACAAAGAGGACCTGGTACCATTCCTTCTGAAACTATTCCAATCAATAGAAAAAGAGGGAATCCTCCCTAACCCATTTTATGAGGCCAGCATCATCCTGATACCAAAGCCTGGCATAGACACAATAAAAAAAGAGAATTTTAGACCAATATCCCTGATGAACATCGACACAAAAACCTCAATAAAATACTGGCAAACCGAATCCAGCAGCACATCAAAAAGCTTATCTAACATGATCAAGTGGGCTTCATCCGTGGGATGTAAGGCTGGTGCAACATACGCAAATCAGTAAACATAATCCATCATATAAACAGAACAAAAGACGAAAACCACATGATTATTTCAATAGATGCAGAAAAGGCCTTCAAAAAAATTCAACAGCCCTTCATGCTAAAAACTCTCAATAAATTAGGTACTGATGGGACGTATCTCAAAATAATAAGAGCTATTTATGACAAACCCACAGCCAATATCATACTGAATGGGCAAAAACTGGAAGCATTCCCTTTGACAACTGGCACAAGACAGGGATGCCCTCTCTCACCACTCCTATTCAACATAGTGTTGGAAGTTCTGGCCAGGGCAATTAGGCAGGAGAAAGAAATAAAGGGTATTCAATTAGGAAAAGAGGAAGTCAAATTGTCCCTGTTTGCAGATGACATGATTGTATATCTAAAAAAACCCATTGTCTCAGCCCAAAATCTCCTTAAGCTGAAAAGCAACTTCAGCAAAGTCTCAGAATACAAAATCAATGTGCAAAAATCACAAGCATTCCTCTACACCAATAACAGACAAACAGAGAGCCAAATCATGAGTGAACTCCCATTCACAATTACTTCAAAAAGAATAAAATACCTAGGAATCCAACTTAAAGGGACGTGAAGGACCTCTTCAAGGAGAACTACAAACCACTGCTCAAGGAAATAAAAGAGGACACAAACAAATGGAAGAACATTCCATGCTCATGGATAGGAAGAATCAATATCGTGAAAATGGCCATAGTTCCTGAGGTAATTTATAGATTCAATGCCATCCCCATCAAGCTACCAATGCCTTAATTCACAGAATTAGAAAAAACTACTTTAAAGTTCATATGGAACCAAAAAAGAGCCCGCATTGCCAAGACAATCCTAAGCCAAAAGAGCACAGCTGGAGGCATCATGCTACCTGACTTCAAACTATACTACAAGGCTACAGTAACCAAAACAGCATGGTACTGGTACCAAAACAGAGATATAGACCAATGGAACAGAACAGAGCCCTCAGAAATAACACCACACATCTACAACCATCTGATCTTTGACAAACCTGACAAAAACAAGAAATGGGAAAAGGATTCCCTATTTAATAAATGGTGCTGGGAAAACTGGCTAGCCATATGTAGAAAGCTGAAACTGGATCCCTTCCTTACACCTTATACAAAAATTAATTCAAGATGGGTTAAAGACTTACATGTTAGACCTAAAACCATAAAAACCCTAGAAGAAAACCTAGGCAATACAATTCAGGACATAGGCATGGGCAAAGACTTCATGACTAAAATGCCAAATGCAATGGCAACAAAAGACAAAATTGACAAATGGGATCTAATTAAACTAAAGAGCTTCTGCACAGCAAAAGAAACCACCAGCAGAGTGAACAGGCAACCTACAGAACGGGAGAAAATTTTTGCAATCTACCCACCTGACAAAGGGCTAATATCCAGAATCTACAAAGAACTTAAACAAATTTACAAGAAAAAATCAAACAACCCCATCAAAAAGTGGGTGAAGGATATAAACAGACATTCTCAAAAGAAGACATTTATGCAGCCAACAGACACATGAAAAAATGCTCACCATCACTGGCCATCAGAGAAATGCAAATCAAAACCACAATGAGATACCATCTCACACCAGTTAGAATGGCAATCATTAAAAAGTCAGGAAACAACAGGTGTTAGAGAGGATGTGGAGAAATAGGAACATTTATACACTGTTGGTGGGACTGTAAACTAGTTCAACCATTGTGGAAGACAGTGTGGCAATTCCTCAAGGATCTAGAACTAGAAATACCATTTGACCCAGCCATCCCATTACTGGGTATATACCCAAAGGTTTATAAGTCATGCTGCTATAAAGACACATGCACACGTATGTTTATTGTGGCACTACTCACAATAGCAAAGACTTGGAACCAATCCAAATGTCCATCAGTGATAGACTGGATTAAGAAAATGTGGCATATATATACCATGGAATACTATGCAGCCATAAAAAAAGGATGAGTTCACGTCCTTTGTAGGGACATGGATGAAGCTGGAAACCATCATTCTCAGCAAACTATCACAAGGACAGAAAACCAAACACTGCATATTCTCACTCATAGTTGGGAATTGAACAATGAGAACACTTGGACACAGGATGGGGAACATCGCACACCAGGGCCTGTCATGGGGTGGGGGGAGTGGGGAGGGATGGCATTAGGCAATATACCTAATGTAAATGACAAGTTAATGGGTGCAGCACACCAACATGGCACATGTATACATATGTAACAAACCTACACGTTGTGCACATGTACCCTAGAACTTAAAGTATAATTTTAAAAAAAAAGGTAAAGAATGTACTAGCAGTTAGCACAATTTGCATTCTCAGCTAAAATAACTGATTTAATTACAATTCCATTTTTGAAACCTGTGGTACAAATGAGTGAAAATTACTGAAAAGACAAAAAGAGATTTATAGTTGAATTAAAAGTGACAGTTAAGACCTATTCCAAATAAATTCTTCTAAGAGTCTTATCTAGTATTAATATCTAGATATTAATAACTTGTGAGTAGCTTAGTAACCCTCTGGCAGATACAGTGATAAAGTCTAACATCTACTCAGCATTACAGTTTAGTTTCGGCATTAACAGATAGATGGCCCCTATAAAAATAAAAATTAGGCCAGGCACAGTGGCTCATGCCTGTAATCCCAGCACTTTCGGTGGCCGAGGTGGGCGGGTCACGAGGTCAGGAGTTCGAGACCAGCCTGTCCAATATGGTGAAACCCCATCTCTACTGAAAATACAAAAATTAGCCAGGCATGATGGCATGTGCCTGTAGTCCCAGCTACTAAGGAGGCTGAGGCAGAAGAATCAGTCGAACCCGGTGGTGGAGGTTTCAGTGAGCCAAGATCATGCCACTGTACTCCAGCCTGGGTGACAGAGTGAGATTCCGTCTCAAAAAATATATAAAATAAAAATAAATAAACAAATAAATAATATATAAATAATTATGGATCATTTTTATTAAAATTTCTTTTATCCACTTTGGGTAACCTGGAAAAGCCTCTAAAATCAATACCGGTTTCTTTGAATATTGAGCTTCAGCATCACAGCAGAAGAAAACCTGCAACCTTTATCTTTCCTAAGTTTCTTGCCATATATTCTACAGGTCACAATGATATATCATGGCATGAATATACTACACTCAGACCTGTTAAAATATATTATTGCTTACATAAGGAAATGCAAAATAGTGTCTATAAAAAGAAAGTGGTTAGAATGAAAATGGTTAAACTGGTTAATGCAGAGATTCTGAACTTTCTCACTTCATCACCCCCTTACCGTTTCAGTAATTTTGCTCATTACGTCCTTTTGCAGAAAGAAATATCTATTGTTCTACTTCTTAAGTAGTTAAATTCAAGCAACCTACTAATTATTTATGTCCTTAGCAACCTGATAGTCATTTTAAAAACTAGTACACTTAAACAGAAAAATAGCATTTCATTTCATTCTTTAGTAACCACGGTTACTTACTAATGGCGTGTGTGCAACTGTTTGGCGCCACACCGTTTCTGGAATCTTAGAATCAGACTAAATATCACTACCCTTGTTTTCTGTTCCAGATTGATTTTTCTTCTAGTATTTGCTTTTTCATCACAGCAACTGTCAAAAATACACCTTTGCAAAGATATGACATTGAAAAAGTAATGTAATGTGCTATAATGTTGAAACTGAACTAACTAGAACTGGTAGTTTCCAGGATGTATGTAAAGTTATTGTATTTTCTTTGAAGATTAAAATATTCCACAGCGTCCCAAGAGTTCACTGTAGTGCTGTGGCACCCAGTTAAGGAACCACTAGGCTAAATATTAATATAATCACAATAACAAAATTCACTGTTAGGATTCTGATAACTGCAAATATTCGCTAGTTTCAAAAATACTAGTTTTATGTAGTAGGAATAAACAGAACCAAAATCAAAGATCATTCAGTTCACAAATGCATACTGAGTGCCAACTATGTGCAAGGCAGTATGCTAGGCACTAGAAATACAGTAGGGAACCAGGCAGAACAAGTCACTTCTTTTTGGGCTTTACATTCTAGCAAGAGAAATTAATGCAAAATATGTATATAAATATTCCTTCTGTAGTTGAAACTGGTAATAAGTGCCACAAAGGAGACTTTGATAGACGAATAGGATAGAATGACTTGAGAATGAATAAGGGCTGAAAGAAGCCAAGTTATTTCAGGGGATAAAAGAAGCCTTCCTTAATAAGCAAGTAACATTTGCAGTAAACTCTAAAGCAGTGGTTCTCAATCGAAGGTGAGTTTGCTCCCCATGGGACATTTGGCAAATTTCTTTTGGTTGCCATAACTAGGGCTCTGGAGAATGCTACAGCCACTATGGTGGGTAGAGGCAAGAGATGCTGCTAAACACCTAAAATGCATAGCACAGCCCTCATGCCCTTTCCCCCCGACAAACTACCTGATCCTAAATGTCAATCGTGCCCACCTTGAGAAATAATGTTCTAAAGTGTAGAAGTTTTTAAGTAGGCAAAAGTGTGTATGTGGGTGTATGTTTGGGGGGTGGAGAGCATCAATGGCCATTTCCACTAGAGCAAACAATATGTGCAAAGGCTTTGAAATACAAAAAGCATGGGGCATCCAAGGATCCAAGAGAGGGCTAGTGTTGATGGAGGATAACAAGCTTGTCCAACCCATGGCCCTTAGGCTGCATGCAGCCCATGACGGCTTTGAATGAGGTCCAACACAAATTTATACACTTTCTTAAAACATTATGAGATTTATGCCCAGATCTTTTTTTTTAATTAGATTATCAGCTATTGTTAGGGCTAGTGCATTTTACATGTGGCCCAAAATAATTATTCTTCCAATGTAGCCCAGGGAAGCCAAAAGATTGGACACCACCGGCTGTAGAAAATTGCAGTAATTCTCAATATTCACTCAAGAAAGTTAGAAGAAGATGTAATCAAAAAAGTGAGTGTGCCTGAATATTCCTTAGAGTAGAAGGAAGATTAATGGCTATTATTTTAATTATTCATGCCAATGCCAGGCTGTATGTAGTATTCAACATTTTCTTCTGTGAAATATGATACAGGATGGAAGGCAAGTTGTCTATACAAAAGTCCACACAGTCATTAAGTGGCCATACCATGGTTGTGTTGGCGACTAAGCAGCCATGAGATTCTGAAGGCTGATCAAGCCTAATCTGATCAAAACAAAACAACCAAAGGGTAAAAGAGAGGAGGGCATTCTAAAAATATAATCAGAGATATTTTCACCCCTTAACGCTCCTTTTAAATAAACACTTTCATTACTCTTAATCTTTATTTTAGCCCAGAATATAATGGAGATACTGCTAGCACTTTTCGTGCTTAAGAAATTCAATCATGTAGTAAGCTGACAACTAACATTGATATCACACTTGAGAACAGAGAGACTGTCTCAGTTTGAATGACAATTCTGTATATTTCAGGTGTGATACACATAATCAGCAACATCCTAATTTATAGACCATCAGACAATATCTATGATATGCAGCATAGACTCTTTAAAAATCATTCCTCATATTAGCACTTGAACAACAGAGAGAAAGAAGGGACGTAGTATTTGTTAAATACCTAGTTTGTATATGCTACATTCAAAGCTAAATCTTTTCACTTGTTTCTATCTAACCTCTGAAATATCTTCATTTTAAGAAAAAGAAAACTAAGCCTACACAAAGAAAAGTCACTTGCCCAGCTCTAGCAGCTAGAAGCTAGAAGCTGGAAGCTAGAAGGTACAGCTGGGGTTTGATTCTCAGCATCTCTCACTATGCAAGATCCTACCATATCATACTTCCCTTCAGTAGAAAGGGGAAAACCTAGCTTTCCTCTACTCTGCAAGTGATTCTTCTTCTGCATTCTAGCTTCTTGGTGTTCTAACAGCTGCTGGGAAGACCCTGAAGTGAGTACCTACTTCCAAATCTTTCTCTCATAAAGAAAGCCTATCACATTCTGTGTCCCCGGAATAGATGGTCGATGGTGACATGGATCAGCACTATCTCACATCCTCCAGGCCATCAAAAGTAATGCAGGAAAAAAAAAAAGAAGCAGCTGAAAAGAATAAGCATTCATCTTAGTAAGAAATACTAGTATTCCAAGCAGCCTAGGCCTGTGCAGAAACACCTTAAAAGGATGAAAACTACAGCCCCACCTAGAGAAAATCCAATGGGGAAGAAAAAGATTCCGTTTATTTCTTCTTGACAGCACATTAGCTTCTAAGCCTTATTAGGTAGACACAGACAAGAGACTAGATTAATTCTGTTAGCAGCATATAAAACAAATTTAAAAGGTGCACTCTAAGATATTTATGCTTTTAATAAAGTTCTCACAAAATTGACTGTCGGAAATGTGAATTCCAAAGTTACAGATATAATGGAATGGGTATTGTCATTATATTATTTCCCTTTATCATCACAACAGTTGCAGTTGTCACGTTACAGATGAAGAAACTGAGGCTTGGAGAAATTAAATTTCTAATCTGAGAAGATAATTCATGGTAAAATGAAATTTTCTCTGCACTTTCCATGAGACCACTTACAAGGCATTTTATCCACTCCTCCCTACCCGCTTTTTATTTCTCTAGTCCAAGTAGCTTAAAGCTTCCCAGCCCTCTAACCACCTGAGGCTATTTACATTTTTAAGTCAATAGCCAGTTCAATGTAATAGCAACAGTTAAAAGAGTCTCACATCCATTGTCATTACCAATTTGTTTTCCTCTTTCCAGTTCTCCTTCCTTCATGTGGGCCCCAGGGAGTGGAGTTCCTCTTACCATATTATTTTGTATATAATTTGAGAATTAGTTGTAAGATTTTATTTATTTCTCCCAACAACTCCTTGAGATAGAAGATATTATAAACCCTATTTTAAAAAAAGGAAACCAAGTTCCCAAGAGGAGAATTGGCTTTGCTGGGAACACTTCTGTAAAGAAGTGACTATCAGATCTTAAAAAATCTAGTCTAGAATCTCCTTATTACAACTGGCTACCTCCCTTATATTCAGCTAGCCTTATTAAATCCTGGCCCACTCTCCAGGGGCCTGTGTATAAATGATGAATGTGTAACTGGTAAGACTGAACCTCCTCTAAATGCCTCTACTTCTAGATTAATGTCACTAAACCAACA